>NT_187369.1:0-41717 GCF_000001405.40 Homo sapiens | reverse complement strand
TCCCCCTTAGAAGGCTGGAGGCTCTGCCTGGGGTGGTCCCTGATTCTGCCACAGGCCGTGGGGGCTCATTCCTTTTTATCAGCAGCCCCAGATCTACCCCTGGTGTCTGTCAGTTCACCTGGCTGCAGGGCGTGGGGGCGGGGCCTGTGTCCACACTGAGGAGGTGGCTGCCGTCCTTGACTCCCTGACCCACGTGGAGGCTCTGGGAAAGGAAGGGCCTGGTGGAGTCCGGGGAAGCCCCTCACAGCAGGAGACCATCTCGTGTCTCCACCAGCAGCTCCTGGTCCCAGCTGTCATCTAACCGGGGCTAGTGCTCCTGCCCTACCCTTCTAAGGGGGAGAGCTGAGCCTTGGACCCTGGGGCTCTGTAAGCAGCACGCTGCTGGGGCATCCCAGGGCTTCTGAGAAACCCCCTTTCTGCCTCACGTGGGGGCTACCTGAACCCCTTGGGCTCAGCTGGGCCCAAGGCTCTGTGAGGCTGTGCACTACAGAACGGAAAAGGGGAAGTCCTCAGTAAGCCTGAAAGGCCCTGGCCTTCACCCGTCCATGTCCACCCGCAGCCTTTGAAAACACAAGTCCTGCTGGGTGTGGTGGCTCACACCTGTAATCCCAGCACTTTGGGAGGCTGAGGCGGGCGGAACACGAGGTCAGGAGTTCGAGACCAGCCTGGCCAACATGGAGAAACCCCGTCTCTACTAAAAAATACAAAAATTAGCCGGGTGTGGTGGCACGTGCCTGTAGTCCCAGCAACTCGGGAGGCTGAGGCAGGAGAATTGCTGGAACCCGGGAGGCGGAGCTTGCAGTGAGCCAAGATCGAGCCACTGTACTCCAGCCTGGGCGACAGAGCAAGACTCCGTCTCAAAAAAGAAAAAGAAAAGAAAAGAAAAGACAATGCAAGTCCTGGTCTGGTGCAGTGGTTCATGCCTGTAATCCCAGCACTTTGGGAAGCTGAGGCGGGCGGATCACAAGGTCAGGAACTTGAGACCAGCTTGGCCAATATGGTGAAACCCCGTCTCTACTAAAAAATACAAAAATTAGCTGGGCATGGTGGTGGGTGTCTGTAATCCCAGCTACTCAGGAGGCTGAGGCAGGAGAATTGCTTGAACCCGGAAGGCGGAGGTTGCAGTGAACCAAGATTGCGCCACTGCACTCAAGCCTGGGCGACAGAGCAAGACTCCATCTCAGGGGGAAAAATAGTTAGCCGGGTGTGGTGGCTCCCGCCTGTAGTCCCAGCTGCTTGGGAGGCTGAGGCATAAGAATCACTTGAACCTGGGAGGCAGCGGTTACAGTGAGCTGAGATTGTGCCACTGCATTCCAGCCTGGGCAACAGAGCAAGACTCCGTTTCAAAAAAAAAAAAGAGCACCTCCCGTCACAGGCTTCTGGTCACTGACAGGGAATGCTGCTCACTTCCTTACAATGGCCCAGAGGCTGTCCCTCCTCCGGGCTGTGGTCCCCTCCAACAGGCCAGCACCCCTGCCTTCACAGAGGCTGATCCCTCTGCAGGGATCAGAGATCCCCGCCTGCTCCCTGCCTTCCTGCAAGTCTTTGCCCAGACCTCACCTCAGCAAGGCCAACCCTGAGCCTCGCTGAAATTGTCACCCGCGCCCATGATGCCCACTCACTTTCCCGCTGGCCTTGTTCCCTGCTGCCCTTTTCCTTGAGACTCGACTCTTGCTCTATTGCCCAGGCTTGAGTGCAGTGGCACAGCTCTCTGTAACCTCCACCTCCCAGGTTCAGGTGATTCTCCTGCCTTAGCCTCCTGAGTAGCCAGGATTATAGGTGCATATGGCACCACACCTGGCTAATTTTTGTATTATTAGTAGAGATGGGGTTTCACCATGTTGGCCAGGCTGGTCTCGAACTCCTGAACTCAGGTGATCCGCCCACCTCGGCCTCCCAAAGTGCTGGGATTACAGGCATGAGCCACTGCACCTGGCCTCCCAGCCGCCCTATGGTTGCCTGGCTTTGCGTTCTGTGTGCATCCTGCGTGACAGCCGGAAGCTAACCCCTAGGAGAAGCCCCTGAGACACATTCCATCTCTTCACTCCCTGCATGCCCGGATTTCTGGCTGGGCCCTGCATCACACAGACAGATGTGTGTTTTCATCCCGTCTGTCCCTGACTAATGAGGCCAGGGGCTTTGTCTTCCCGGCTCTGTATGCCCAGAGCCTGACTCCAGTAAACATCTGCTGAATGAGTGGGGCATGGAATCCCAGGGACTTGTCCACTCTGCCTACAGCTCATTGCATGTGACCCTAGACAAAACTCCCCTCTGGGCATTTCCGAGCCTATCTGGCAAGTGGATCTAACCTGCTCTACCAGGCTGCGGCCATGAGTGAAGAGACATCCCCTACTCCTGGCCTGGATGTCCCTTCTCATATTTATTCATTCAACAAACAGCAAGTGGGTGCACTCAACTGCCCGGCCTGTCATCACGTCAGCCACACATTCTTCTATCCACGCGTGTATGGGTCTGAGGAATAGGAGAACAAGATAATTCAGGAGTGGCAAGTGCTATATAGTGAAATGAGGAGTTTGGTAGGAAGCGATGGGGATGGTTCTTTAAGTTGAGGGGTCAGGGAAGCCAGGCATCTTTGAGGAGAGGAGAGCTGAGAACCTAATGAAAAGAGGGTCGGCCTCACAGCCCTGCCGTGATGGAACCGGCAGTGATGTGGGGAGGTGTAGAGGCCTCAGGTGGGGTCAAATTTGGCCTAATTACGGGCCAGGAGGAAGACCTGGGAGGCTGGGAGAGTTGCAGGCAACTGTAGGCTTCTGGAACTATTCCATGCTAGCTGATGGGCTGGGGTGTAGAACCTTTCTCAAATCGGGGCTGCATTTCTTCCCTGGGCCAGGCCTACTTGGGAATCTTTTAACATAGGCCGGGAAGTTTGACTGGAGGACACCGAGAGCCGTAGATCCACCAAAGGCTCCGTGAATTTCAATTGAAAGCAGTCACGGGCCACAACCAGACTGATCCTTGGAGGGACAGCCTCTTCCTGGCCTCCCTCTGGGGAGGCGTGACTGGCAGTGGTGGGGGGGGGGGGCTGTGGGAATCATTCTGCAGCCCGACTCTGGCTCCATGGGCAGCTCACTCCCTGCGGCGGTGCTGGCAGTCAGCTGGCACCAGTCTCCGCCAGAGATTCCCACAGCCCACACGGGGGACCCATGTTTCTTTTGTGTAATCAGAGGTGACTTGATGAATAGTTACAGTTCATCCATAGCATCTTTGTTCCCAGGAGAAAGAAAACAAATCATGATTTATACGATCATCACCAGGGCGCCTCTGACCTACAAAGAGGGTTTGGGTCAAAGCCGGGGCAAAGGGCAAGGGCTTGGTCTGGGAGCACTTTTCTGCAGCTGTCACTGTGGTCAGGGCTAGAGCTGGCAAGGGTCTGGGAGTCAGAGGTCTCCCCCAAGACCCATTCTCTCCCCTCTAGGTAGTGTTCCCCACAGCAGAAATGATGCCCAGCCTGGCCCGTACTTGGCAGCACCCGGACACGCCAGGCCAGCCATAGAACCCCCTGGTGGCTGGTCCTCCCAGGCACAGGGAAGGATCCTAAAGTTCAGCAATGGCTGTGCGCCAGGCACCAGGCCTGTGCTCAGGGCTCTGCAGGCACTTCTCAGGCACTCCGCACGAGGTCAGGATGACAACTGTTGCCCCCATTTCATGGATGGGTTTGGGAACACAAAGAGACAAGAAGCAAGACTGTGGCACAGCTCAAAGGCACGGGACTCGAGCCAGGTCCTCCTGCGGGGCTGTGCCCCAGCAGCTGTCAAAGAGTGTTCCTGAGTTCCCAGCAGTGAGGTCTGTGGGGAAGGGCAGTGGTCTGTGCGGTGGGAGGGAGGGAGGGAGGCAGAGGGACAGACCGACCAAGAGCAGAAGGGGTGTAGACGTGGCACATTTGGAGTCAGAAGCAGGCTCTGCATCAGACACAGCCTCAAATCGGGGCTCTGCCTCTTTCTCACAGAGTGATCTTAGCTCCTGTGCCTCAGTTTCCTCATCTGTACTGGAAGAACAATGCTAACACCTGTCCTGTGGGTTTGTTACAAAGACCAGCTGAGAGAACGTGTGTGTTGTACTCATCACAGTGCTTGAGACAGAGTAATCATTCAGTAAATGGTGGCTGCTATCACTATTATTATTATTTACTAATATTACTTTTATTAATTCCTCTCTCTAGTGATGGGAATTTTGTTTATTTTCTCATTTATTTATTTATTTTAGAGACAGGCTCTTGCTCTGACACCCAGGCTGGAGTGCAGCGGTATGATCATAGTTCCCTGCAGCCTCAACTTCTTGGACTCAAGTGATCCTCCCTCCTCAGCCTCCTGAGTGGCTGGGACTACAGGTGTGCACCAACACACCTGGCTCATTTTTGTATTGTTTGTAGAGACGGAGGTCTCTCTATGTTGCCCAGGCTGGTCTCGAACTCCTAGGCTCAGGCAGTCCTCCTGCTTTGGCCTCCCGAGGTGCTTGGATTCCAGGTGTGTGATGGGAATTTCATTTTGGTCCTTATGCTCATCCATATCTTTGTAATACTCCCCAGTGACTGTGAGAGTGCCCATTGTTCTTCTTGTCCTCAGGCCAAGGTGGAAGGGGATGTTGAGCCAGGACCCCTTCCCACCCAGCCCAACAGCATATCTGCCTCATGTTCTGGGGTATTCCAAGCTGGAGGCTCTGACTCCATAATGGGGCGCATGAGTGCAGATGGTGGAATACTAATGAGAATGGTGATGAGCTCCAGCACTTACTGAGGGCTCATTCCGTGCCAGGAACTTGGGCTGGGAGTGCCAGCCAGCGGCCCTGCAGGAGGCCGTGGGTACCACTTCCCCCTGCTGCTCAGATCCTGCTTGATGCCAGCTTCTCAGACCTTCTCCGGCTGGCTGGGCACCCCTGGGTCATGGATCTCTGCCAAGTAGGGAGTGCTGAGAGAGCAGAGCTCACTGCAGGTCTGGCCCCCCACCCGCTGTGTACACCGCCATGGGCCTCTGCAGAAAGAACCCAGTGGGCCCGCACCAGCCCCTGATCCCCAAGACCCCGGCACTCACTGTGCCTTGGTTACGGGGTGAAAAATTTAGGCCGCTGAGCGTCGGTCATGAAATATTCAACAGCCTGTTCTGATGCAGCAGTATGTGAGTGTGTGTGGGGGTGACGCTGGCGCTGGGGTGTGGAGGCTGGCAGCCACGAGCCAGCATGTTTCTGAAGATAGATACGTAGCTGGGTCTTCTGTCTCCCTCATCTGTGTTGACGGGACCCCCTCTGGATCACCAGGCATGGTGCCTGCTCCCCGCACCATCATGAAGTGCCCGGCTCAGCATCAGCCCCAGCAAATGGCAGCCCTGTGTCTAGGGAGTGGGGAGGGAGGAGAAATCAGTGAGTGGGGGTCCATGGGGGCTGCAGAGTCAGGGGTCTCAGTCAGAGTCAGCCTTGGGGTCTCAGGACTCAGGGAAGTGGACAGAGAACCAGGGCTTTAGGGACAGGGAGATGCCAGCTGGGAGGGGCTCAGGATGTGTGTGAGAGGGAGGGAGAGGGCACACGTGACAGGGGTCAGAAGAGGGGCTGAGTCGTGTTGGGAACAAGAGGGTGGGTGGGCAAAGGGGGGTAGCCTGGTGCACGTTGATGGGCAGGCAACAAGTGGATGGGCAGTTGGATGGGTGAACGAGGGATGAATGCAGGGTGGAGCATGTGGTTGATCTACGGGGTGAAAGACTGGGGGAGGTAGATGGGCAGGATGTCAAGTCCTGTGAGGAATTGGCCTCCTAGGCACAAAAGGTGAACTGGAACCCAATAGGTCGTGGCCCCCAACCTGGAACTTCTCCTGGGTCTGGGGGTAGGTTGTGGCTCCACCTAGTGTCCTTCAGTGGCAACTGCACCCTGGGCTGTTCACACCCAACAGCCCAGCAGCCAGGACAGCCCTGCTGTTCCCTAGGTAGGCCCCCTCTGGGCTGGCAGAGCAAGGATAAGGGACAGTGACAGCCGAGAACTAGGCCCTAGAAGCCCCTGAGACACATTCCATCTCTTCACTCCCGGCATGCCCATATTGCCAGCCAGGCCCTGCATGCACAGACAGATGGGTGTTCAAGTGCCACTTACCAACTGTGTGACCGAGGAGAGAGCTGAGTCTGTGCCTCTGTTGTGGGACTATGGGTGATGGCACAGAGTCCCAGCTCCATCTGTGAGCCTCCCCAGCTGTAGCTGCACCATTGACTGAATTCTGATTCTGGCAGGTCCCCTGCTAGGTGCCTTACCGGTGTAATCTCAGTTGATGGTCACAGTAATAGTTGATGGCCGGGCGCAGTGGCTCACACCTGTAATCCCAGCACTTTGGGAGGCCGAGACAGGCGGATCACTTGAGCTCAGGAGTTTGAGACCAGCCTGGCCAAGATGGCAAAACTGGGTTTCTACTAAAAATACAAAAATTAGCCAGGCGTGGTGGCACATGCCTGTAGTCCCAGCTGTTTGGGAGGCTCAGGCAGGAGAATGGCTTGAACCCAGGAGGCAGAGGGTGCAGTGAGCTGAGATTGCGCCATTGCATTCCAGCCTGGATGACAGAGAAAGACTCCGTCTCAAAAATAAAAATAAAAATAGAAGAACCTTCTTGCCAGTGCCGTAGCCCAGAGCTAGCACAGCAGAAGCATTCAGTACATAGTGGACATCCCGAGGGCTGCCAGATTAACAAAAACAGCAACAACAAAACCCGGGATGTTTGACTAGCTTTGAATCTCAGATAAAAAAGTTGTATTTTAGTATAAGTATGTCCCATGCAATATTTGGGATATAGAATACTAAAGCATTATCCGTTCATCCGAAATTCCGGTTGAACTGTGTGAACTGCATTTTGTCTGGCAACCCTTACCACCCTGCCCGCTGGGAACTCAGTCTTCTGGGGGAGGCAAAGGTCAAAATCAGTTATGGTCAACCAAGCATGACAGGTCATGCTCATAGTGGCCCTGGGCAGTGTGGGGCGGAGGCCAGCAAGGGGGAAATAAATCAGGGTGGCCCTCATGGAGGAGGGATGGGTACTGAGTCTTCAAGAGGGAGGAGGATGGAAGGACATTCCAGATGGAGGGGGCACACGATGAAAGGGATAGAGGTCAGACACAGCAGTTGTGGGGACTCATGGTGACAGTGGGCGAGAGGGGAGGAAAGGCCAGCTCACCACATCTTTGTAGACCTCGGTTAAAAAGTGGGACTGAGGCTGGGCGCGGTGGCTCTGTAATCCCAGCACTTTGGGAGGCCGAGGCGGGCGGATCACGAGGTCAGGAGTTCGAGACCAGCCTGGTCAACATGGTGAAACCCCGTCTCTACTAAAAATACAAAAGATTAGCGGGGCGTGGTGGCGCATGCCTGTAATCCCAGCTACTCAGGAGGCTGAAGCAGAAGAATCGCTTGAACCCGGGAGGCAGAGATTGCAGTGAGCCAAGATCCAGCCACTGCACTCCAGCCTGGGCGACAGAGCTAGACTTCTTCTCAAAAAAAAAAAAAAAAAAAAAAAAAAAAAAGTGGGACTGAGGGCAGGGCAGTGCTGGGTGGGACGCCCTCAGGGGCCTCTGAGGGAGGGTGGCTCAGGACTCAGTCCAGGGGGAGCCCCCCGGGCGGCAGCGGGCCGGTGACAGGGCCCTCTCCCGCCCACTCTCCCTGCCGTCCAGGGCTCCCCGGGAGGGGAGGGGGGCGGGTAAGGAGGCCTCGGAGGGGGTGAGGCGCTGAAAGCCCACGGTGGGCGCTGTGTCTCCGCAGGGGAGTGAATGCCCAAACCAAGAACGGTGCCACGCCCCTGTACCTGGCGTGCCAGGAGGGCCACCTGGAGGTGACGCAGTACCTGGTGCAGGAATGCGGCGCGGACCCGCGCCCACGACGGCATGACCCCACTGCACGCCGCGGCGCAGATGGGCCACAGCCCGGTCATCGTGTGGTTGGTGAGCTCCGGGCCCGGGCGGTGCGGAGGGGAGACGGGGCGGAGCCGGCAGGGCGGGGAGTGGAGGGAGCGGGGCCATCAGGAGTGGGGCGGAGGACCGTGGGCGGGGCCTGCAGGGGCCTGGCCCCCATCCCCCGCCCCTCTCTCCCCGCCCCTCCCGCCCAGGTGAGCTGCACCGACGTGAGCCTGTCGGAGCAGGACAAAGACGGCGCCACCGCCACGCACTTCGCGGCGAGCCGCGGCCACAGCAAGGTGCTCAGCTAGCTGGCTGCTGCTGCACGGCGGGGAGATCTCGGCTGACCTGTGGGGCGGGACCGCGCTGTACGACGCCGCCGAGAACGGGGAGCTAGGGGTCAGCGCGGGCCCGGGGTGGGGGCGCGCGCCCTCTGCTGGCACCGCGCTCTCCGCACGGCCCTGCCCGGGCGCGGGGGTCCCAGCTCGTGGCCGCGGCCGGGTCCTCACTGCGTGCCCCCACAGTGCTGCCAGATCCTGGTAGTGAACGGCGCGGAGCTGGAAGTCCGCGACCGCGACGGGTACACGGCCGCTGACCTGTCGGACTTCAACGGCCACAGCCACTGCACCCACTACCTGCGCACGGTGGAGAACCTGGTACGATCCCTGCGCTGCTCCTGTCGCATTCTCTCTTCTCGCCCCTCCACCCCAGTGGTGGGTGTCGTCACCCCTTTTACCAAGGAGGAAGCTGAGGTTCAGAGACGTGAAGCCCGCTACCCCACACGACCTGTCAGCCCAGAACCACTGCCTGCTGGGGACTGAGGGAGTAGAGGCACAAAGGTTAACGGAAAGAGGACAGGGAAGAACAGGGTCACCCCAAGGGGTAAGGCTGGAGAAATCACAAGACAGGCCCCATTGGGAACAGGCAGGCTCATTCACCTACCCATAGACATTAGCTTGGGTATAACTCACAGCCACCCTCTGCAGAAGAGAGTGTAAGTGTCCCGTTCCACATATGGGTAAAGGGAGTCTGCGGGGCACCAGGATCGCATCACCAGTAAGTGGTAGAGTGGAGAACCTACCTTGATGGCCTGACCAGGAGCCACCTCTCTGCCCCTGCACCATATATTAGCTGACTTCATGGCTGGGTCATAACTGGAAACCCATGCTACTCTTTTTAAATTATGTTTTTATGGTGAGACAGCCACGAAGTGACCTACTGGGACTTGAACTCAGCTGTGGATGTCTCCAAGTGAGGGCTCTGCACCATCTGGTACAATGCCTGCTTTGAGGCAATAGGCAGGGAAGAGAGTGGGCCTCACAGCCAACCCCAAAAGGATGCGGACCAACTCCATGGGGCAGCCTGGCCATGAAGGGGCTGTGAAATGAGGCCCGGAGGGAAGAAGGCAGATGGTCTGTGCCCTGAGCACCTTCTGTCCATCTGTCGTCCCTGCCAGCACAGGGGGATGGTCCTGGCTCTGGGGGCTGCAGAACACAGCAAGGCCCAGAGGCCAGAGGCTGCAGGCGGGCCTGAGGGTGAACTTCCCCCCGAGAAAGAGTCTCTGGAAGAGAATGAATGGCCCAGCAGGTAGTGAGCACTCTGTCACTAGGGTATATAAGCCAGGATGGACACAGGGAAGGACATTTCTGCATCAGTGGTGGGTCCCCATCAGTTAAGAGAGCCTGTGACTCTGTCGAGGGACCATGGGGGGTGGCACCAGAGCCCAGGGCACCTGAGGGCCTGTCTGGATGCAGCTGCTAGTGGTCATAGGACAGCAAACACTATTCATTGGATTCTGACTTAGGCAGGTACCCTGCCGAGTGCCTTAAAGGTGTAATCTCAGTTACTCTTCACAGTACATTAAAAAAATAGTTGGCTGGGTGCAGTGGCTCAGGCCAGGCGCGGTGGCTCATGCCTGTAATCCCAGCACTTAGGGAGGCCGAGGCGGGCAGATCACGAGGTCAGTAGATCAAGACCATCCTGGCCAACATGGTGAAACCCCGTATCTACTAAAACTACAAAAAAAAAAAAATTAGCCAGGTGTGGTAGCACACGCCTGTAGTCCCAGCTACTCGGGAGGCTGAGGCAGGAGAATTGCTTGAACCCAGGAGGCGGAGGTTGCAGTAAGCCAAGACCGCGCCACTGCACTCCAGCCTGGTGACAGAGCAAGACTCTGTCTAAAAATAAAATAAAATAAAATAAAAAAGTTGACAGGCCGGGTGTGGTGGCTCATGCGTGCACTTTGAGAAGCTGAGGCGGGTGGATCACCTGAAGTCAGGGTTCGAGACCAGCCTGGTCATCATGATGAAACCCCATCTCTACTAAATATACAAAAATTAGCTGGGTGTGGTGGCGGGTGCCTTTAATTCCAACTACTTGGGAGGCTGAGGCAGGAGAATTGCTTGAACTCAGGAGGTGGAGGTTGCACTGAGCCAAGACCATGCCACTGTACTCCAGCCTGGGCAACAAGAACAAAACTCCGTCTAAAAAAAAGAAAAGAAAAAAATTTGACAGTATGGCATTTACTGGGCGCCATGTCCTGGAGCTCAGCAGAGCAAGTAGTGCTGTTACCCCCATTTGCAGATAAAGAAACTTAGGCACAAAAAGCACAGGTGACTCACCCGAAATAGCTAGTAAGTCGGGGAGGGGAAGTTTGAAGCCACAGTCCCAGACTGCAGAGCTGGGTGGCTCAGGCCAGGCGCAGTACACCTGCTGAGGCCCAGCCTCTTATCTGCTGCCTACAGGGGTCAGGGCTTGGTGCCCTCAGCACCCACTGCTGTTGCCCAGGTAAAGAGCACCTTTGGGTGCTGCCCACGCCACCTCCTATGGCTCCCCTGACTCCTGCGGTAGGTAGCAGGGCCTGGTCCCCTGGAATGGGTGGGGTGTGTGTGCCCTGGTCCCCTCACTCAAGCAGGCCCAGCTGAGGCAGGGACAGACCCAAGCCACAGAAGACGCTGGCCCAGAAAAGGCAAACACTCCAGCAGAGCCCCTAATTACGGGGCCAATGAGCACGGCCGCTGAGCCGTTACCTGGTGCCAGGCCTGCCTCTCTCTCCCAGGGTGCCTGTGACACTTCTTAGGCAGGGAGGGGGCACGGGGCAAGGAGGAGCAGGCCTGGGCAGGAGGCAGCGGAGCAAGCGGGCTTGCCGGCAGCAGGGGCAGCATGGGCAATGTAAGCAGGGCCCCTACCACAGCCCCCTCTGCACCGGGAGGGGACAGGCCTGTGGTCAGACGCACAGACCGGGCAGGGCGGGGGAATGGCAAGCCTGGCAGCCTGAGCTCTGGCTGCCCATCACTGCTCAGCTGGCCATCCAGGCCCTACCCTTACCCCAAGGGCCCCATCAGGAGACAGGCCGGGCTGGTGTTGGGAGTCTGCTCCAGGTCCCAGGTCTGGCAAGGAGAGCTGGCTTGCCAGCCAGGTCACTAGGGATGGGCCTGTGCTGTGCCCTTCCCCATGGAGCCTGTGCCGATCTGTGAGGGAGAAGGCCGATCTCCTGGCAGTTCTCCCCCTGGGGTGCAGCTCAAGGCCCCCTCCTCGTCGATCTCTCCACCCTCCTAATCAGGGAGGAGCCAGGGGAGGGAGTTTCCCAAGAACCTGGGTCCTCTGCCTGGCGGGGCTGGGCTTGAATCTTAACCCGGAGGAATCTGAAAGACCCTCTAGCGATGGGGAAGAGACCCCAGAGAGGGGTGTGGCTTGGCCAAGATCCCACGGCAAAGGCATGGTTGAGTAGGACCCTGGCCTGGAGAGCAACGCATCTTGGGGTGCAGTTGCCTTCATGGCCTCCCTGCCTCCCCTTCAGAGCATGGAGCACTGCGTGCTCTCCCGGGATCCATCCGTGGAGCTGGAGGCGAAGCAGCCGGATTCAGGCATGTCCTCACCCAACACCACGGTGTCGGTCCAGCCTCTGAACTTTGACCTCAGCTCGCCCACCAGCACCCTCTCCAACTACGACTCCTGCTCCTCCAGCCACTCCAGCATCAAGGGCCAGCACCCTCCACGTGGTGAGTGTGCCCAGGAGGAAGAGGGGGAGGGAGAGCAGACTGAAGCCAGACTGCTGGGCTGTGAGGGTTGGCCTTGGGCCAGCCTGCCACAGCCAATATCGAAGACTACTCTCATCACTTGCTTTTAAACATGGGGAGGCGACACCCTTTCTGGTGAGAGACAGATGTCACTCATACTTGTGTGTGCTCATCACAGACATACATGTACATCCACATGTACTCTCCCCACCCACAAAATCCACGTGTGCCGCCCACCATTCATTATTCTTAGCTACTCACACACAAAAGCACACACTTGTACATGTGTACACACAGCATACAGATATGAACACACATACAGAGCCAGGCTAATATCTGCACACACCCACCTTACACACAAGCACACAATGCTCTATTTCCATACTACAGATATGCACACACACACACACCATGTCCACAGAGCAATGCACACACATTCATCAATACAAAGAAGCATGTGCACAAATGCGTACACACTCAAACATACACAAATTCACAATCGCCTCGGCAGACTGCAGGCTTGTGTGTACACACACCCTGACCGTGCCCTGAGCATGGGCGTCCATCCACTTGCAATGCCTGCTTCACGCCACCAGATGGTGGCCTCCAGACCTGGCAGGGTGCCCTGCAAAGATTGGATGTGGCCATCTGTACTCCCAAGGAGTAGACCCTCCCCTTCCAGGTGACCCTGCCCTCTAGACACACGAAAGCCTCCAGTGCTTCCCCTCCAAACCGGAGTGCCTGGTCTTCCCCCAATAAGTGCTGGGCTGGGGCAGGGCAGGGCCAGGGAGAGGAAGCCCAGCAACGCCAGGGGCCACAACAGGTGTACCAAGTGGTGCCCGGAGCCCACCTTGGCCCTCGGCAAGTTGTTTCCAGGTGGTGGAGAGTCTCATTCTTGGGGGAAAGCCTGTCTGCATGCTTCCAAATCTGGCCCTTCCTTCTGCCTCCCCAGGGCTTCCCAGCACTAGAGCTGCAGACATACAGAGCTACATGGACATGCTGAACCCAGAGCTGGGCCTGCCTTGGGGCACGATTGGGAAGCCCATACCCCCACCACCCCCACCCAGCTTCCCCCCGCCACCCCCGCCCCCAGGCACCCAACTGCCCCCACCCCCACCTAGCTACCCATCTCCCAAGCCTCCTGTGGGACCACAGGCAGCTGACATCTACATGCAGACCAAGAACAAACTCCGCCACGTGGAGACAGAGGCCCTCAAGAAGGAGGTAGTGAGCCCTCACCCACTGCCTGCCTCCCAGCAGGGGTACTGGGCTGATGGGGGCCAGTCAGGCCAAAGGCCTGGCCTCACTAGTGGGCACAGGGTGGGGGTCCCTGGGTCCATGGCATATTCAAGAGTCAAAGCTCCTGGCGAGTCCCACGAGGGGTCAGGGCTGGACACTGGACTGGGAGGAGAGTAAGAGCAGGTCACTGTCCTCCATGGGAGCTGGGGGGTGAAGGACGCAGGTCCAGACAGCTGTTCCTCACCAGGAACTGGGCCTGTGCCACCTCTTGCACAGAGTGGCCGGGTTGTCATGGAGTTGACAGAGAATGCATGGAGACTGCCCCTCCCCAAGCATGCCCCCCCACCCCCACAGCCCCAGGCTCAGTCGGAGAGTGTCACCCAAGGGAGGTGGCTGCCAGGTGGAAGGTGCCAGTGGCATGGCTGTAGAGGTAAGGGCTGGAAGGAGGGAGGGAGGAAGGTGAGCAGGCACTAGCAGGGCTGGGCGCCCACCGGCAGTAGGGGCTGGGAGGAAGTGAAGCTGTGGCTGGTTCCAGTTTAGGGCTTGAGCTCCTGGGGGAAAGGGCCAGGCCTGAGCTGGGAGCCCTGGAGGGAAGCGAGCCTGTGTGGAGAGGATGAGGGCAGGGTGGGTAGGTGAAGTGTGAGGTGCCTAGGGATGTCTGGGGCCTGCAGGCGCCTGGCTGAGGCTCTGGAGCAGGGATTGGGGCAGAGGTCTGGTCTGAGCAATTGCGGGTATCCTCGGCAGGGTGCCCTGGGGAACACTGGCGTTCTGGCCACAGGAACAGAGCAAGGATGGTCTAAGAGGTGAGGGGACAGCCTGAGGTCACAGGTGGCCAGATGTGGTGTGGCAGCTCCCTGGGGTCCTGCTGGAGCCTGGGACCTTGCAGTTCTCTCTTAAGCCCAAGGCAAAGCCACCCCAGGGCCAATTCATACAAGGTGACTCAGGTCACAAGGCCAGTGGGCAAGGGAGGCATGGGAGGGACACCAAACCTGCAGGCCAGCTCCAGTAGCTGCCCTCTTCACGCCACCTTAGACCAAGCTCCCACAGTGGCTTTCCCCTTTCATCTCTGGGAGGCAGAGGGGGCCGGGCGGGTAGGGCTGCAGGGGCCCTGGAATCGTTGAGCTCCCGGCGCAGACTGTGGGCCCCGCCCAAATCCACAGGACAGGTGGCCCAGCCAGTGCCCCCTCTCCACCGCTGAGCCCAAGTGCCAGGTCTGTGAGGTCACCTCCTGGCTGTGCGAGCCCCCTCCCGGCTGTGTGCGTCCCTCCCGGCTGTGTGTGCCCCTCCCGGCTGTGTGCGTCCCTCCCGGCTGTGTGTGCCCCTCCCGGCTGTGTGTGTCCCTCCCGGCTGTGTGCGTGCTGGGCCGCAGACGCCAGGGCCCGGGCCGGGAAGCTCTACAAAGGGCTCTTTGTGTCGCCGCGGCGCCTCCCGCGCGGGTGCCTGACCGCAGGTGGGAGCAGGGTCGTGGCGTCGGAGCCTCCGGGCTGCAGGGGGCGCGGAGCCGGCGGGCTGGCCCAGAAAACGAATCCTGCGGTGTCGCGTTTCCTGCAACGTGAGCCAGGTCGGGCGGGGTGAAGGGTCTGAGGCCACCGCAGGGACGCATGGGCTGGAGAGTGGGGCAGGGGACAGCCCCCACCCGGTCACTCAGTCTTTGGCCCGGCCGCCTCACTCTCCCTCACTGAGCTGGGCCTAGTTGGGGGCAGCTGCGACGGGGCGGGAAGCCGCGCTGTCACCCGACCCCGCCTTACGGCCCCTGAAATCCGAGGCTTGAGCGCGGGTGTCGGTGTCGCTTTCGTGGATGGCGATGGTTTCCAGATGCAGGAGGGAAACGGTGGGGACGCGACCCGGAGCCGGCAGCCAAATATGAGAGGCCCCCTCTGCCCACGGTCAGCCCTCTCTCCTCTCGGGCGGGGATGAAGGTGGGGGCTCAGCTCCCAGCTTAGGGAGAGGCGCAGGGGGCGGGGTCACATCTGGCCCGGGGCGGGTGCAGAGCCGCGGCCAGGTGTGGCAGAGTAGTTGGCGCCCCCGTGGCATCCGCGACGGCTGGGGGGGGTTCGGCCTGGGATTGGCGGGCCCCGGGTGATGTCAGGCCGTCGGAGCCCATAGGCTGGCCGTGCGCGGGCGTCTGTAACCTGAGAGGAAGTATCACGTAAAGCAGGTGTCGGGTCCTGCCGCCCCCGCCGCCAGGTGCACAGCAGGACCACCAGCACCGTGGCAGGTTGGAGCAGCCCCTAGACGGACAAGCGGGGTCCGGGGCAAGCCGGAGCCTCGGAGAGCACAGGCTCTG
The DNA here is from genome assembly GCF_000001405.40 of Homo sapiens. NCBI lineage: Eukaryota > Metazoa > Chordata > Mammalia > Primates > Hominidae > Homo > Homo sapiens. Next base: position 26,304 of record NT_187369.1, on the reverse strand, counting down.
GAGGGGGCTCCCTCCGGCCCGGGACCCCCGAAAGACAGGGCTCCGCGGAGCCCTGGGGACCCGCAGTCCTTCTGACAGCCGAGAGCGGAGTGCGGCCGAGGGCCTAGTGAAGGCTAAGCTGGGAGGTGCCCCTTCTCTAGCTCCCCCTGGCGTCGGGGCTGGGCCACCCCGCCCCTGGGCCCGCCCCTTCTGGCCTCAGTGGGGGACCCTGTGCCCCTTGGCCGGTGCCCAGAACCCCTCCCTGTAAGGCGGGCGGAGCCTGCCCTTCCACCGAGGCCCCCATGAACCTCGCCCGCTGCCCACCGTGAGAACAGGGGGTCTAGGAAGTCGGCTGCTGCACCCCCCGACGGCCGCTGGCCGCGAGTTCCCAGGAGGTGAAGAGCTGGGTGGGGAGGCGTGGGGGGCGCCTACCGGGCAGTTGCCCGAGCCCCACCGGTCACTGTCTTCCCGCAGCCGAGCTCCTGCGACGGCCACGACGGGCTACGGAGGCAGGACTCCAGCCGCAAGCCCCGCGCTTTCAGCAAGCAGCCCAGCACGGGGGACTACTACCGGCAGCTGGGCCGCTGCCCCGGCGAGACGCTGGTCGCACGCCCGGGCATGGCGCACCGCGAGGAGGTGCGTGCCCGCCAGCCCGCGCCCGCCGGCTGCCCGCGCCTCGGCCCTGCCGCCCGCGGCTCGCTCGAAGGCCCCTCCGCTCCCCCGCAGGCGGCGCAGTCGTCGCGGATGCTACGTGGGCGCCAACTGCTCTGCCACACCTGACCGCGGCTCTGCACGCGCCCCCGGCCAGATGTGACCCAGACCCCTCAGCCTCTCCCTAAGCTGGGAGGTGAGCCCCCACCTTCATCCCCGCAGGCGGAACTCCCTGGGAACCACGTGCCTAATGGCTGCGCCGCGGACCCCAAGGCGTCCAGGGAGCAGCAGCTGCTGCCGCCGCCGCCGCCGCCGCCGCCCCTGCCCGAGGCCGCGAGTTCGCCGCCGCTGGTCCCGCCTCTGCCCCTCGAGGGCGCTGGCCCTGGCTGCGGGCAGCGCCGCTCCTCCTCGCCCACCGGCAGTGAGTAGGGGCAGGTTGAGGGGTGGGGGGCGGCGCTAGCCCTGAAAGGGGAGGGAAATCTAGACACCGCCCCCTCCCCAGCTGTCACTGCCCGGGTCCTTCCTCTTCTACATGGTCTTCCGGCCACCCCTACCCCATTGAGTACTTGACCCTAAGAGAGGGCTCTGGGTTGCTTGAGGTCCTGCCAAAGCAGGACCGGGCTGCACAGCCTGGGGCAAGTCCCTTCCCCAATCTGGGCCTGCCTCCCACCCTCTAGCTGTGTGGCCTGGACAAGTCCCCTCCCCTCTCTGGGCCTGCCTCCCACGGGCTAGAAAGGGCCTTCCAGCTCTGGCGCTGGTGTTTCCCATGAGCTGGTGCTGGTGTTTCTGATGAGCTGGTACTGGAGGGACACTTGAAGTCGAACCAGCTTCAGAGAGGCCCCGCAGCTGGCCACCCTTCCCCCTGCCCCTGTCTATCCTGAGCCTCTCTTCCTCTCTCCACGTCTTTCTCTTGTCTTTCCAAGCAGCACAGACCTGAAGCCTTCTTAGATATGCCAGGAACTCTTCCTAGCCAGTTCCTGCCAGGGGCCCTGGGCCAGCCAGAGCCTGGCTATGGGGGCAAAGCTGTGACCCACCATGTTTCCCCCTCCCTCCCCGGTGACTTCCCTAGGCATCCTTTTTTAAGAGCTAGACTGGCGCAGGATTCCTGGGCTTCTTTTCTGTAGGGTGGGACAGTGTCCCCCTGCCAGGACACCTAGAAGGCCCAGGACAGGGTGCCTAGATGTGGTGCTCCCATCCCAGCCTGGCTGGGGTGCCTTCCTCACCCAGCCACTCAGGGTAGAGATCATGCTTAGTGGCACCCCTCAAAGCTTCATCTCCCTGACTAGGAGTGCAGAGCAGAGCTTGTCCCCCTATGGTTCCTATGGAGCCCCAGCCCCTGCAGACCAGAGCCCATGGAAGCATGTCCAGCACCTGCCGAGCCTCCTTCTCCTTCCCTCCACAGTCTGCAGCAGGGCTGAAGCTAAGGGCAGAGAAAAATATACTCTGGGCTTCCCCAGACACCCCCACCCAGCACAGCCAGGGCTGGGTGCCCTACCCCAACCCAGTGCCAAGGTGGAGGCCCTTGCTGGGGGCTAGAGCCACTGGTGGCCCTGCCCTGCCCAGCCCTCAGGGGCACCAGCCAAACCAGGAACTCGATGGACCACCCTCATGGGGCCCCAGAGCAGCCTGAGCCAGGGTCAGATGGGCAGAAATGCTCCTCCTCTCTTCTCCACTTCCCCCCTCCTGCTCTCCCTGGCCCGCTCCCTGTCCCCTGCTATCCCAGTCTCATCCTGGCCCCCTTTCCCTCCTAACTCCGCTGTCACTTCTCTCCTCTTGGTCCCTAGAAGTGAGAGTCCTGAGGCACAGGAAGAGTGAGTAGCTGCGTGCGCGGCTCCTGGCTGAGGCTGAGGCGCGGGGTGGGGGGAAGAGGCAGGAAAAGCACGGGAGGAGGGGCCCAGCCTTGAGGAAAGGGCAGGGGCAGGGGCTGGCAGGCGAGAGAACCTCGATGCATGGGTGGGGCCTTGTACCTCATACCTACCCTCATACCCACATATGCACCCAAGCATTCTGCGCCTGGCTGATGGTTTTGCCTAAATAAATGAATAAGCCACACCGATTTTCCCTTTCTCCTACTCTTCTCCTCCCGGTGACTGCACTCTGGGATCCCCAGCCTGGGAATCCAAGAGCTGTCGGCCCATTTTATTCCTCCCTCCCAGACCTGACCCCTTCATCGGGGCTCAAGAGACCTATCTCTCCAAATCTCCATTCGCCTCCTCCGGCTAAGCCAGAAAATGCACCCTCTGCCCTGGGTGTTTGCATATTACCTGCCTGCCCTTCTTCCTGGGTGCCTCCTGTGGCCTTAGTAAGGGCTCTGCTTTCCCCTAGAGCTGAGCCGTGCTTTGCCATAAATGTGCTCCCGGCTTGCAACCAATGTGTCTGCTTGTGCGTCTGTCTGTGGGTGTGGTGGCGAGGGAGGGGAGCAGGTGGTACTGGCACTCCGGGGTCTGGACTCTGCATGTCCATGGAGGCCCCAATTGACTCAGCTCAAGGGTCACTGAGGCTTTGCTGATATAGGGAGAGGGCCAGAGGGAGGCTCCACCCAGCCGGGCTGAGCCAGGAAACCTGGGACAAAGGTCCGGTGGCTGATTCCAGGTAGTGTTTTGGGGCTGGGCAGTCAGTGGCTGGGCAGGAATATATGCCCAAGAGCCACCATGAACTCCCAGGGGTCTCCAGGCAGGGGCCCTCCATCCCGTGAGTAGGGTGGGGGAGGATGGTGGGGTTGCCACAGTCGGGGAACCAAGGGCCTGCCTCTGGGGGCCCTGAAAGCTGCCTGCGGGACCTGGGATCTGGAGAGCTGCCCGCTGGCCCCGAGGATGGGCACCCATCCAATCTTGGGTTGGGAAGGGGGCTGCAGAGGGGCAGGTGAGGGGTGGCAGGGATGCAGCCCCACCCTGGCCAGTGCCTCATCTCCTGCCTCTGCATAGGCACCAAGTCTTTCAATGTGATGTTCCCGATGGGCGACAACTCAGAGCTACTGGCTGAGATTAAGGCAGGCAAGAGCCTGAAGCCGACGCCACAGAGCAAGGGGCTGACCACAGTGTTCTCAGGCAGCAGGCAGCCGGCCTTCCAGGTAGGCGGGCCCAGCAGGAGCCTGCGACCCGGCTTCCCTGGCCCTAGGCCACCAGGCGCTCAGCCCCACCGCTTCTCCCTGCAGCCCGATTCGCCGCTGCCGTCTGTGTCACCTGCACTGTTACCAGTCCAGAGCCCCACACCGCCAGCTGCGGGGTTTCAGCTGCTGCTCAACGGAAGCTTGGTTCCGGTGCCGCCCACTACTCCTGCGCCGGGGGTGCAGCTGGACGTGGAGGCGCTCATCCCCACGCACGATGAGCAGGGCCGTCCCAAGCCCGAGTGGAAGCGCCAGGTGATGGTGGGCAAGATGCAGCTGAAGATGTAGGAGGAGGAGGAGCAGAGGTGGAAAGTGGGTGGGGCGGGGTGCCCAGGGAGCCCTGGGGTCTGCATCTGGATGCACAGCCCATCCCCCACGCCACCCCCAACACCAACCTCGGGACCTCCTATTTTCTTTCTTTCTTTCTTTTTCTTTTTTTCTTTTTCGTGAGACAGAGGCTTGCTCTGTCGCCCAGGCTGGAGTGCAGTGGCATGATCTCGGCTCACTGCAACCTTTGTCTCCTGGGTTCAAATGATTCTCCTGCCTCAGCCTCTCAGGTAGCTGGGATTACAGGCGCATGCCACCACGCCCAGCTAATTTTTTTGTATTTTTATTAGAGACGGGGTTTCACCATGTTGGCCAGGGCTGGGATTACAGGCATGAGCCACCATGCCCGGCCATCTTCTTTAGGGAAATCAGGGTGGCACGACCCCGTTTGGGGCTTGTCCCAGTCTCCACACACACCCCCAGCAGCTTGTCCTTGGAGTGAGACAGCAGCCTTTCTCAGACTCTCCTTCACCTGCCCAGCACCTGGGATCTGGTTAAAAGGCCTGTTCGGATTCAGGAGGTCTGGGCAGGGCTGAGGTTCTGCATTTCTAGCCAGCTCCTGGGTGAGGCTGCTGATGACACTGGTCCAAGGACCACACTGAGTAGCCAAGAGAGCTTTGGTCTCAGTCTTAGGGACCTGGGCTCCATTGCTGCGCTGCCGCCTTCCAGCTGCCGATACTGAGCCTCATCCAGCCTCAGTTTCCTTCTCTGTAAGGTGAGCTGATCAGCACCAGCTGGCAGGATGAGTTGCCTTCCATTCATCCAAAAACTATTCCCCGAATGCCATTTATTTTTATTATTTTTTATTTTTTTGAGACAGGGTCTCACTCTGTCACTGAGGCTGGAGTACAGTGGTGCGATCTTGACTCACTGCAACCTCCACCTCCTGGGTTCAAGTGATTCTCCCGCCTCAGCCTCCCGAGTAGCTGGGACTACAGATGCCCGCCAACCATGCCCGGCTAATTTTTGTATTCTTAGTAGAGATGGGGTTTCACCATGTTGGCCAGGCTGGTCTTGAACTCCTGGCCTCAAGTGATCTGCCCGCCTCGGCCTCCCAAAGTGCTGGGATTACAGGCGTGAGCCACCACGCCTGGCCCCCGAGTGCCATTTATGTGCCCCACACGCTTGTAGCCTCTGGGGATTCATGGTGAACATATCAAGGCCTGCTCTAAGGTGGCTGCGGACATGTGTGCGAGTCACCAAGCACACAAAATGGGGCAGGGTGAGAGAGTGGGTGGCAGTGGAGAGAAGTACCTGGGCTGATGCAACACAGCCAGCTGCAATGGGGAACGCAGGGGACTGGGGCAGCCCTAACCGGCCACCTTATACGTGGGCTGGGGGGTGTGTTAGGGAAGGAGGAGGTGATGTCTAAGGTAACACTTGGAAGACGAGTGAGGGGTGGCCAGGCGGAGAGGGGGCTGAAGAGCCGCAGGTGGGACAGGGCAGTCTGGAAGTGAGAGTGGATGTGGCCCTGACTGTCCTGGAGGAAGGGGGTCGCTGAGCTGGAGAGACCTCAGTGGGGGCCAGGTTACCAAGACCTGGCCAGAGGCCCAGAAGAGAACGGACTTTCTCCTGGAGCACTGGGGAGCCGGGTGCGGGGAGTGTTAAGCAGGGAAGAGGCTGCTTCCTAATTGTATGTGGGGAGTGGATCCCATAGGGTCAAGATGAATCAGGGACCTCTGTGGAGGCGATGGCAGGCCCAGGGGGGAAAACTGGACATCAGAGGTGGAGAAAAGTGAGCAAATGAGAATATTACGGTGCCCAGCTGTCCAGCACGACGAAGGGAGGGGAAGGGTGGGCAGCTCAGTGGAAGCTGCAGCTGCAGCCTCTTTAAGAGAGGAGTGGCCTCTCATTCTGCACATAAAACATTGACCACAGGGAGCGGAAGGCTTGGGCCACAGGGGAGCTGGAGAAGGGGTCATGAGTCTGGGAGGAGAGGCCTCACAATAGCCGCCCTCGGATGGGTTGGGGCGGGCCACCGCGCCTCTCAGCTTCAAGGCCTTTGGCAAGTTCCTTGGGTGGTGTAATGAGCGAACAAGCCAGGCATGGAGACCCCGTCTGCTGGCCTGTTCTTGCCGCCGCAGCAGCGAGCAGCAACCGGCCGTGCCCCCCGCCAGCGACCAAAGTGGACACTGCCCAGAGCCTGGAGCGGCGGCTCAGGCCGAAGCCTCACCCCAGCGTCACCCCCCGCCGGCCAGACGCGGTCCCTCCCTGCAGACGCAGCCCCGCGGAGCCATTACACCACCCAGGACATGCAAAAGGTTCCTGGCGCCACGGCGGGAGCTGGGCCAGAGGGAGACGCGCCTCCCTCCCCTCTCTTGTCTTCCCCGCCTTAGCTGACGGCCGCCAGCTCGTGCTGCTACCCCCGCGAGGGCTGGAGGTACCCCCGCGAGGGCTGGAGGTACTCCCGCGAGCACAACGCCATCCTCTGGCCCTTTGGCGAGCTCATGACCGAGGCCGACATCCTCCGCATCGAGCAGCAATCGAGAACCTGCAGGTGCTGCACAAGGCGCAGAAGCTGGAGGCGCGCCTGGAGCAACTGGAGCTGAGCAGCTGCTGCCCATCTCCGTCGCCCTGTGGAGCCGCGCTTCACCGTCGACCCGCGCCGAATGCATGGCCGCGCCGCCAGCCTGCCCGCCTGGTGCAGCAAGATCTCCACGCTGCTCAAGAGCATGGCCACGCTGCTAGCCGCGCTGGGCTGCCGGCCTGCGCACCTGGCGGAGCTGCCGACCGCTGACACGGGCCAGCCGCTGGCGCCGCTGCCTGAGGCGCCCTGACTGCCGGGGCCGCTTTGCCTGGGCCGCTCGCACTGGCTCAACTGGTGCCGCGAGGCTGTGGCGCGCGAGATCCTCGAGTGCGGCGCCTCCGTGCAGCATCACCGCGCCACCTACGAGCTGCGCGCACTGGACGCGGCGCCCCCGCGCTGTCCGCGCCGCAAGCCCCCGCAGTCCGCTGGCGCCCCGGTCCGCGAGCCCATCCTGTAGGAGGACTACGTGGCGGCCGGCTCTGGCCAGCCCAGCGCCGCCGCCGCCCACGGCCCGCTGGCCGACTGGGAGCCCCTGGACACCCTGGGCCCGCCTGAGGCACAGGATTGCCAGGCGGCGCTACCTGAGCCCGAGCAGCTGGCGCGCCGGCCGCCCCTCTGCACGGAACTGCGCGGCGTCCAGGACTACCTCGACCTGCGCAAGGAGCGCATCGTTTACCTCTTCCTGGAGCACTGGCGCCTCTGGGCCTTCCTCGGACCGGGCCTTCCGCGGACCAGGCGCGCCTAGGCAGACTGCTCCCTGGCGTGACGGCCGCCCGTGCTGGCCGGAGCTGGAGGCCACGGACGCCCCCCGGCTGCCGGTGAGCAAGGGCGAGGCCCACAGCCCCAACGAACGGCTGCGGCAGCTGCTGAGGCAGCGGCAGGCAGTGGGCAAGCTGCTGCACCACTGGCGGAGCCTGCGGCGGCACGTGCCGCCAAGCCCGGGCCTGGCGCGCACGGCGTGTACTGGCCCCAGCACTTCCTGTCGCCCCTAGACGGCGGCGCACCCCCGCGCTACGAAAGCCTCACGCTCGACCTCTTCATGCTCGGCTACTTCCAGCTACCGGAGATGGGCCTGAGCCGCGAGGATCGCAAGTTCCGCCACCTACTGTGCTACGAGATGTTCCACCGGCTGGACAGCCACCCGTGGGAGCGCATCCGCCTCTTCCACCGCGTGGTGCTGGAGGAGGTGGAGGCCGGCCGGCGCGGCTGGAGCGACGGCTTCGAGGACCTCAGGCACAGGTTCTTCGGAAACGGCCTGGAGGCTGGGCCGGCCCCCGAAGAACAGGCGAAGAAAAAGGAAGAGAAGGGGAAAGAACAGGAGCGGACCGAAGAGGCCGCTCCGGTTCAGAAGGGGGACCCGCCCGAGGGGCAGCGCGAGGCCCTGGCCCCTGTGCCGCAGCCGCCGCCCCCGCCCGCCCGCCCGCCCGCCGCGCTTCCCCGGATCTCAGACTCTCCGGGTTCCGAAGCCCCCGCCGAAGACCCTTTGGAACTAGTGTCTGAGATGGGCGAATTCAGCAACGAGGACATCTGCCGCTACATCGACCGCAGCTTCTCCTTCTGGAAGGAGAAGGAGGCAGAGCTGTTTGACATCTGAGCAGCGGAATTCGGAATTCGCAGTTCACCCTCGAGCGTCTTAACGTGGGCCTGGACGCCTGTCTGACGCCCTCCAGAGGCGTGAAGCAGCGGGAAGAACCCAGGACTGTGGCCTTGAGCAGCCCGGAGGGCCCAGGACCAGGCTGCCTCAGCCTCTGAGGTCCCATCGTGAGCAGGCTGTGTGGGGCGTTGGTCGGATAGGCAGGGCAGGCACAGAACAAACCAGGTGTCCCCCTCTGGCCCCGTGGTCTTGCTGAGCTCTGTGTGGAGCCAGGCAGCAGAAGAAGCCCCTCTGAGTGAGGGGCTGCGGCTCCTCCCTGGGGCAGTGTGGCCTGCTCTCTGGTTTTCCACTGGAGTTCACAGCTACCTCCTTGGCTGAGGTCAAGGGAGCCACGTGTGCAGTGTTCTGTGTGAAGTGTGCGGTGTACAGACCCTTTCTCCTCTGTAATATTCAGGAAATAAAACTCTTTGCTGTAAACTGCCTATGTTGGACACCACACCTGCCCCTGATGTCATTGCAGCCCCACGATTGTAGAGCACGTATCCACTCTGTTGGGAAGAGGGCAACCATGGGCTGAAGGTCCTTCTCAGGGGAGCCAGGGGCAGCCTGAATCTCCCTGAGCCAAGAGGCTGGGTGGGGGCCCGCATCTGCGTCTGCCCAGAGATCTTGGACCTGTGGCCATTGGCCACCTGCCCCTGTGGGGAATCAGGCTCAGGACCTCTGGGTCCCGGCTACTTTTTCTCTGCTTCTGTCCCACTCAGCTCTGATCTCTCTGGTGCCTCCTGTAGGACACAAGGGTCTGGGTTACTAGGGGAAAGGAGGCCAGCTCTGAGGGGGTGTGACCAGGCACCTCCATCCACTTGTCCCACAGAAATGCATCCAAAGGGTCACTTCCTGTGACCCTGACTCCTTCAGGTCCCCAGGTTGAGGGTGCCCCCTATCTCCCAGCCCCTGCAGGCTCTGAAGCTTTGTGGTTGTGTTTCAGGAGGAGGAGGAGGCCCGGCTGGCCAGCATGCCCGCCTGGAGGTGGGACCTCCTGCGGAAGAAGCTGGAAGAAGAGAGGTGAGCCGGCGGTCAGGCAGAGGCTGGCCTGGCAGCGTGTCTTGACTGCGCCCCTGAGGTGGAGGTACCAAGTGACACTGTTTCTCCTTCTAGGAAGCAGAAGCGGTGAGTGCAGGGCTGGCCCCAGCCTGCCACCCTTACCCCCACCCAAGTCGCAGAGGGTCGTCCCTTCATCCAGGCCAACTTGAGTGCATCCTCCTGTCTCTTGGCCCTTGTAGCACAGCCTCCTTCCTCCCTATAATATCCCAGACGGCTGACCCCCAGAATCTCTCTCTCATGCTCTGATAACTTTGTTCCCGGTTACTCAGTCCCTGCCTCCTATTAACCTGGCCTTTTCTACCCTTCAGTTAACCTAACCCCAGTATCAATCACCTTGATTGTCTGGCCCTCAGAATGTACTTTCTGCCCCTAGTCATCTCACCCAGCCCAGTGCTGTCCAATAGAAATGTAATGAGAGCCACAGATGTAATTTAAAATTTTCTAGTAGCCACAGTGAAAATGTAGAAGGATATAGGTGAGCTTAATTTTAGTAGTGTTACTTGACACAAAATATCAAAAATATTATTTCGACACATAATCAATTATGAAAATTACTAATGAGATGTTTTATACTCCTCCTGTAAAAGTAAGTCTTTGGCCAGGCATGGTGGCTTACACATGTAATCCCAGCACTTTGAGAGGCCAAGGCAGGGGGACCACTTGAGTCCAGAAGTTTGAGACCAGCCTGGGCAATGCAGTGAGACCTCATTCTGAAAAAAAAAAAAAATTTTTTTTTTCTTTTTTTGAGATGGGGTTTCACTCTTGTCACCCAGTCTGGAGTGCAGTGGCGATCTGGGCTCATGCAACCTCTGCCTCCTGGGTTCAAGTGATTCTCCTGCCTCAGCCTCCCAAGTAGCTGGGATTACAAGCATGTGCCACCGCACCCAGCTAATTTTGTATTTTTAGTAGAGATGGGTTTCACCATGTTGGCCAAACTGGTCTCAAACTCCTGACCTGAAGTGATCCACCCGCCTCGGCCTCCCAAAGTTGTGGGATTATAGGCATGAGCCATCAAGCCTGGCCTTTTTTTTTTTTTTTTTGAGACAGAGTTTTGCTCTTGTTGCCCAGGCTGGAGTGCAATGGCACAATCTTGGCTCACTGCAACCTCTACCTCCTGGGTTCAAGTGATTCTCCTGCCTCAGCCTCCCAGGTAGTTGGGATTACAGGCGCCTGCCACCACGCCTGGCTAATTTTTGTATTTTTAGTAGAGGCCGGGTTTTGCCATGTTGGTCATGCTGGTCTCGAACTCCTGACCTCAGGTGATCCACCCGCCTCAGCCTCCCAAAGTGCTGGGATTACAGGCATGAGCCTTCACACCAGGCCTACGAAAAAAAATTTTTTTTAATTAGCTGCACGGGGCTGCGCACAGTGGATCATACCTGTAATCCCAGCACTTTGGGAGGCTGAAGCGGGTAGATCACCTGAGGTCAGGAGTTCAAGACCAGCCTGGCCAACATGGTGAAACCCCGTCTCTACTAAAAATATAAAAATTAGGTGGGTGTGATGGCACATGCCTGTAATCCCAGCTACTCGGGAGGCTGAGGCAGGAGAATCACTTGAATCTGGGAAGCGGAGGTTGCAGTTAGCCGGGATCACGCCATTTTGTACTCCAGCCTGGGCAACAGAGTGAGACTCCATTTCAAAAAAAAAAAAAATTAGCTGGGTGGGCCGGGCTCAGTGGCTCACGCCTGTAATCCCAGCACTTTGGGAGGCTGAGGCAGAATGATCACCTGAGGTCAGGAGTTCAAGACCAGCCTGACCAACATGGTGAAACCCCGTCTCTACTAAAACTACAAAAATTAGCTGGGCATGGTGGCACGCTCCTATAATCCCAGCTACTCAGAAGGCTGAGGCAGGAAAATCGCTTGAACCTGGGAGGCAGAGGTTGCAGTGAGCCGAGATCGTGCCACTGCACTCCAGCCTGGGTGACAGAGCGAGACTCCGTCTCGATTAAAAAAAAAAAATTAGCTGGGTGTAGTGGCACACACCTGTGGTTCCAGCTACTTGGGAGGCTGAGGTGGGAGGATTACGTGAGCCCAGGAGGTCGTGGCTGCAGTGAGCCATGATCTCACCACTGCGCTCCACCCCGGCAACAGAGCGAGACCCTGTCTCAAATAATAATAATAATAATAATAATAATAATAAAACTTAGTCTTGAGATCTTATTGCTCTTATTGCCTGACTAAGGAGGTTCTGGGTAGGGAGTTCATTTTAGATCTGCTTTTTTTGTTTGTTTTTGTTCTCATCAAAAACTACCTTTGCAATCTCATGTTTCTCTTGGGCCCTCTTTAATGGCCTAACTTCTTCAAAGCATGATTTTCTTTTAGTTCCTCAAGGTGGCTTTGGAGAAAAGTCTGGCAACTGTGGAGACCCAGAACCCATCTTTGCCTTGAGAATGCAGAGCTGAAAGAGCAGAAATGTCTGAGGGATGGGAGATTGAGGAAGACAAGGAGAAGGGCAAGGTGGTGGTTGAGACTGTGGTTGCCAAAGAGGGTCTGAGTGAGAGTAGTCTTCAGGCTGAGTTCAGAAAGCTCCAGGGAAAACTGAAGAATGCCCACAATATCATCAACCTCCTCAAGAACAACTTGTGCTGAGTAGCAAAGAAGGGAATAGTAAACTTACTCCAGAGCTCCTTGTGCATCTGACCAGCACCATCGACAGAATAAACACAGAACTGGTTGGTTCTCCTGGGAAGCACCAACACCAAGAGGAGGGGAATGTGACTGTGAGGCCTTGCCCCAGACCCCAGAGCCTTGACCTTGGGGCTACCTTCACAGTGGATGCCCACCAAGTCAATGTAGGCTTAGATGGAATGAAAAACCACTGGAGAAGGGCTCGAGATGACAGTGTTTACTTTAAAACGTTCTCCCATGTGAATCAAGAGGTACCAAGAGAAAGGTCTCTTTGTACCACAAACAACAGGAATAATATTCTGCCTACATTCAGCCTTTAGAAAGCCTTTTACAACATGAATATTTCTTGGGTACTTAATTTTTCAGATAACACACTAGGCATTGGCATGGGGCAATAAAACCAATGGCTGCCCTTGAGATACTTAATATGGTAAGGAAAGATGGCACATAAACAGGTAATTTTAATAGGAGGGGGTAACTGCTGTAACATAGGGATGCATCAGGTTATGAGGCAGCCCAGACAAGTAGTATGTAATGACATCCCTTCCTTATCAATGCCATTTTTTTTTTTTTTTTGGTCACAGCTCATCACAGGTGTCTGTTCCTGGACCTCAGATGGGTTATTGGGATCCTGTTTAGGGGAGGAGCCATGCTGAAGATTCAGTAAAATGGGGAATACAGGGGATTCTGAGAGAATCGATGGCACAGAATGTGAGGGGAGATGAGTGGAGGGTTCCACCCCTTCTCTTGTTGACCACTGAGAAAACGTTTCCTAAGAGCTCCTCTGTAGACTTGATTGGCGCTGTGCTGTGTGCTGTGGATACAGATATGAGGAAAACATTATCCCAGCACTCCAGGAGCTCCATCCGGAAAGCAAGTCACTGCCAAAAGGCATGAGAAGTGCTGTGACAGACTTGAGTAAAGTCCACGGGGTTCACAACGGGCCATGGTCATCACTGCATGGGGGTGGCCTCGGACTGTCCTGATCCTTGTCTTGGCCCCTTTCACAGTTGGAGAACCAGTCCCAGCCTTGTGACACTGGGCCCAATCAGCATTTAGCCCACCAGGGTCCACCCAGCACCCGCGCTCCCAGCTGTCACAATGCAAACAACGCTATCAAGATCTCCAGGAGAAGCTGCTGCTATCAGAAGCCACTGTCTTTGCTCAGGCGAACGAGCTGGAGAAATAGAGAGTTATACTTAGTAGGTAACTATGACTTACTAGTAAAGAACTAGCCTGTACGTCTTATAAGCTCTGTATGTTCTATACAGACATAATGTGGTTATTGAGCACATGAAGTGTGGCTAGTGCAACTTGGACATTTGGTTTTATTTAATTTTAGTTAATTTAGTATAAAGTGGCCATATGTGGCTACTAACTACCTTATTGGACAGTGCAGGTCTAGGTGTCTTGGGACTCTAAATTAGTTCAGCTCCATTCAACATTTATTGAACCCCTGCTGATAAAGCACTTGCCAGCTTCAATGGGGCTGCTAGAGATGAGAGTACACAATCCCTGACTTACAGATACCTTGTCCCAACTAAGGCCTAGGTTATCTGAAGGGGAGATTATCAATGGCAAATGCAGGCTCCTCCTGTGGAAAGAAATTCTGCTTCCTGGAGCTGGTGGTCTCTTCTCCCACCAGTTCAAAGAAGCTTCTCTCGTACTGTGGATCTGCCCTCCCTGCCCCACAAGGTTAGGGTATGTGCCATTGAGGCTGAGGGCATATGTGGGAAATTCAGACATTCTGTAACACCTGCTGTCTCTTCCCACGCAGGTGAACCCTTGCTGAAGCAGGACAGTAAACAGGTCCAGGTGGACCTCCAGGACCTGGGCCACGAGACTTGTGGCCAAAGCAAGAATGAGGCTGAACAGGAGGAAACCACCAGTCCCGGTAAGAGCACAGGGTGTGGGGCTCACCTTCCCTCCCTGGAGTCAGCTGTCACATTTGGGTGCTGTTGGCCAATTCCACACCTGACAAGTAGTGGGGAAGAGGAGGACAGGAGGTTAATAGGAGAACTCTTACCCAAAATGAGGCTGCGTATAAGTTTGAATTTCTACAATTAGTTTGTGGCACACTGCTAATAATAATAATAATAATAATAATAATATAAAGTTCTAGCCAACTGATTATTATAGAAATACTAAGGCCTACTTAGAGACCACATGAGGTTTTGGAAACATGCAAACTGTAAGTTAAAAATAATTTTGTTTTGCATTATAAAAGGACTACAACCATAGGGCCACCCACCACATTGAAAACCAGAAGAGAAGAAAAACACAGTCTCTCTCATTCTTGAGGAAGTGTAGTGTGGCAGTTAAGAGAAAAGATCCTGGGGCCAGACTGGTTGGTTCAAATCCCAATTTGTAAGCTTTCCTATGCCCCAGTTTCTTCATATGTTAAAATAGTAATAAAGGAACTACCTACCCCATCAGGTACTAATGTGAATTAAATGAGTAAATTCTTATAAAATGCTTTAGAACAGTGTCTGGCATCAGGTAAAATGCTGTGGATTAGTTCTCATTCTGACTACCACTGCCCCAATACACTGATGTTAACATGCTGATATATTTATTCGAAGTCTTATTTTCCTATGCCTATTTTTCACACAGTGGTAACCCAATAAACTTTTAAATTATAGTAAACTTTAGAGAGCATTAAACTTGCAGCATGCAGAAATAGCTTGTCCTACATTCTTGTGGCTATCCTAACTAGATAAGGGCATGTTAATGTCTTGAGAAACATCAGTGTGTGTGGAATGAACACAGGACGTTGGAGGATTTGAATTCAGGCTCTGCCATGTGCTAGTTTGAGTGATCTAGAACAAGCTGGTTTACTACCTCTCTTTAAGTTTTGGTTTCCCCAGTCAGTAAAATAGAGAGTGGTGAAACCTAACTTATGGGTATAAGGAGGATAAGAAATACTGTATTTGAATGCCTAGCACAGTGTCAGGGTTGAATAAAGTACGACTTCACCTTTTTCCCTAGTAATTATTGTCCTCATGACCAAACCTGCCTCCTCTCAAAGGCAGTGGCCACAACAGCACATCCAACTTTTAATTAGGAAGACATCTTTGTCTTTTTTCAGAGCGTGAGGAGCACAACAGCCGCAAGGAAATGGTCCTGATGGAGGGGCTGTGCTCTGAGCAGGGGCGCCGGGGCGGAACGCTGGCTAGTTCCTCTGAGAGGAAGCCCTTGGAGAATGAACTAGGGAAGCAGGAAGAGTTCTGGGTATATGGAAAGTCAGAAAACATCTGGGTCCTATGAAAGGACATCAAAGATCTGAAGGCCCAGCTGCAGAATGCCAACAAGGTCATTCAAAACTTCAAGAGCCGGGTCCAGTCCCTCTCAGTTACAAGTGATTATTCTTCTAGTCTGGAAAGACCCTGGAAGCTGAGAGCTCCTGACACCCTGGAGGGGTCTTCACCTCATAGTGTCACTGATGAGGATGAGTTGTGGCTGTCTGATGGCACTGGGGCTTTCTACTCTCCAGGACTTCAGGCCAAAAAGGACCTGAAGAGTCTCATCCAGAGAGTATCCCAGCTGGAGGCCCAGCTCCCAAAAAATTTATCTAGGGACATATAATTAACATATATATAACAGTTGAAGAACAGTGGCATGGTAAATTTTTGTTTTGTTTTGTTTTGATACAGAGTCTCACTCTGTCACCCAGGCTGGAGTGCAGTGGTGCCATCTCGGCTCACTGCAACCTCTACCTCCCAGGTTCAAGCAATTCTCCTCCCTCAGCCTCCCAAGTAGCTGGGATTACAGGCATGCGCCACCATGCCCAGCTAATTTTTGTGTGTGTTTTTAGTAGAGGAGGGGTTTCACCATATTGGCCAGGCTTGTCTTGAACTCTTGACCTTGTGATCTGCCTGCCTCAGCCTCCCAAAGTGCTGGGATTATAGGCATGAGCCACCACGCCCGGCCCATACTAAATTTTTTAGTGCAATACTTTATCAGGGTAGAATTTACTGTTAAATGCCTCCTATGGCTTATGTGCCAGAATTCAGTTTGGGGGAGTTCCTTAGAGATGTTCTCATAGAAATCTCTACAGAAGCCCCATAACTTATCATCCACCCTTTCCTCTTCTGTCCTGCATTAGGAAATATGATTCCCTGATTCAGGATCAGGCCCGGGAACTGTCTTACCTACGGCAAAAAATAGGAGAAGGGAGAGGTGTTTGTTATCTTCTCACCCAGCATGCAAAAGATACAGTAAAATCTTTTGAGGATCTCCTAAGGAGCAATGACATTGACTACTACCTGGGACAGAGCTTCCGGGAGCAACTGGCCCAGGGAAGCCAGCTGACAGAGAGGCTCACCAGCACACTCAGCACCAGTAAGTTGGCCACAGGGCTTTGGATACTCTCAGTCACCCCACAGTTCCAGCCCCTGGTGGCCACCACATCTCCACTGCAACTTTTTAACGTAGGGTCCTGTTTCTATTTCATTTCCTGGGGCTAATACAGGATCAAGACTGCTCAATGGGACTCCTAGCCCTGACACACAGCTGGGACTCTCAGGTCCGACCAGCGGTCCTGAACCCGCTCCCACGGCACGGGAACTCCTTCGTGGTGAAGCAGCAGCCCCTGCGCTGGCTCATCTACATAGAAGTCGCCCTATCTGTGATGTCACCGACAGTGCCTTTCCCAGTCCCCGTCTGCCTTTCTGCCGCTCAGCCGACCAACCCGCTGCTGGAGCCGGCAAGGGGAAGTGACGTCTGCCTCTCCCTTTTTTCTCTCCTGCTTCCCTCATCTGTTCTCTCCCAAAGAAGCTGGTCCTTAGCCTGTATTGCGGAGCAAGCTTTCGGCGACCAGCTGGACCCTGGGCACCCTTCTTCGAACAATGGCTTTTAATTCTCAGACTAGAACATTTAGGATTACAAAAGAAACTGGTTCTTTTCACATCCTTATCCTTGTGATGTAGCATTCCGCATATATATATATATATCCAACTATCCTAAAAGACACTGCCCTTCATCATTCCATGCCGTTAGACATTTATAGGACCATGCATGGTGATCTCCTCCAGACAAAAGTAAATGCTGGTGCAGAGCAGGTAAGTGTACTATAATTTGAGTACTTCAGCTTTTGGGCATTTTAAACCATGGGTCAGACAAGTTAGAGCAAGAGGGCAGGTTGATAGCAAGAGGGAGTGTTTTTCTTTTAATTTCCTTTTTTTTTTTTTTTTTTTTTTTTGAGACGGAGTCTCGCGCTCTTCGCTCAGGCTGGAGTGCAGTGGGGCTATCTCGGCTCACTGCAAGCTCCGCCTCCCGGGTTCACACCATTCTCCTGCCTCAGCCTCCCCAGTAGCTGGGATTACAGGCACCCGCCACCACGTCCAGCTAATTTTTTGTATTTTTAGTAGAGTTGGGGTTTCACTCTGTTAGCCAGGATGGTCTCGATCTCCTGACCTTGTGATCCGCCCACCTCGGCCTCCCAAAGTGCTGGGATTACAGGCGTGAGCCACCGCGCCCGGCTTCTTTTAATTTTCAAATAGCAAAGTGATGTTTGCCACTGTCATTTCAGAATGAGGTGACAATTTGTTGTTGTTTGGTTTTGTGGGGTTTTTTGTTTGTTTGTTTGTTTCTGAGACAAGGTCTCACTGTCGCCCAGGTTGGAGTACAGTGGCATGATCAGGGTTTACTTCTGCCTTGACCTCATGAATTCAAGCAAACCTCCTTACTAATCCTCCCAAGTAGCTGGGACTACAGGTGCATGACACCACACCCTGGGGTGTGAACTGGGATTTGATGTTTTCAGTTGGCTCCCTGATGGAATAGGTTCCCTTACTATTCTGGAATACAGATTGTCTTCATGATTATGATTCATAATCATAATGATTATGACAGCAGTCCCTGCTGTCAGGCAGGGACGTTTAAGTCTGCAGAAGCTGTCTGCTGCCTTTTATTCAGATATGCCCTGCCCCCAGAGGTAGAATCTAGAGGCAGTAGGCCTTGCTGAGCTGCAGTGGGCTCTACCCAGTTCGAGCTTCCCTACCACTTTATTTACACTGTGACCATAGAACCACATACTCAAGCCTCAGCAGTGGCAGAACCCCCTCCCCCTGCCATGCTCCAGTGTCACAGGTTGATCTCAGACTGCTGTGCTAGCAGCAGGCAAGGCTCCATGGGCATGGGACCTGCCGAGCCAGGCACAAGAGGGAATCTCCTGTTCTGTCGGTTGCAAAGACAGTGGAAAACACAGTATTTGGGCAGGGGTGTACTGCTCCTCGAGGTACAGTCACTCACAGCTTCCCTTGGCTAGGAAAAAGAAATCCCCCAACCCCTTGCACTTCCCGGGTGAGGCGACACCCCACCCTGCTTTGGCTCATCCTCCGTGGGCTGCATCCACTGTCCAACAAGTCCCAGTGAGATGAACCAGGTACCTCAGTTGGAAATGCAGAAATCACCTGTCTTCTGTGTCTATCTCACCTGAAGCTGTAGACCGGAGCTGTTCCTATTCAGCCATCTTAGAAGCAACCCTCTTTTTCTTTTTGTATTTTGGTAGAGACAGGGTTTCACCATATTGCCCAGGCTGGTTTCAAACTCCTGTGGTCAAGCCATTCTATAAAACAAACTTATATTTGTTTTATCTGAGTTCCTTCCTCAGGAAAGGACTCTCAGGCCTCTCAAAAAGCATCAGAGACCTGAAACTCAGCCAATCACAGCATCCAGACAATGAGATGCCAGTCCCCTCACTCATCACGAGTGCTTCCTCAGCCCTCCCTAGTTCCTCTTTTCCCACACACAGTTAACTTTTCTTCTGCGCTATATAAACCCCTAACTTTAGTCAATCAGGGAGACAGATTTGAGACTCATCTCCTGTCTACTCAGCTGCAGCACCTGATTAAAGCCTTCTTCCTCAGCAATACTCAATGTCTCAATGATTGGCTTTCTGTGTGCTGAGAACACTGAAGCCCTGTGGTTTTGGTAAAAATACATGTACCCTTTAAAAAACCGCAATTAATGGGTTGTGGTATATTGAGAAATTGGAGTGGCATCAACTTGGCCAATTCTGAGGAAACACACTGTGCTTAAGTGTCAGGGCCCTGCCTCCTGACCTCGACAGTTTATGGTTGATTTTGAGGCACAGCAGGGGAGTATGGCCTGGTTTGAGTGTTTTATAGAAATGTAAAACATGGCTGATTACTTTTTATTTTAAATCCAACAAATCTCCATTTCTGGTGAGAAAATCTTGCCAAAACCAACCAAACAAATGCATAGAAGTATATGAAGAAGAAAATGAAAGATTCCCTGCCTCCCAATCCCACTTGCTTGGTGTCAGCCATTATTTATCACATGGAGGAAGGGGGCAAGACACCCAAGAAGTCCCAAGTCCTGTTCTCACAATCATCTGGCCTCCCTGGGCAAAGGGAAAAGAGGGAAGGCAAAAAGAATATAACACTACTGTTTGCGGAAATTTCCCCTTGGTACAGGAAACTCTGGTAAACTGAGAGAGTATGTTTTCCAGAGGGAGGCCTCAGGGGCTCTTCTCTGGCCCTAAGCCCAAACTGGATTTTGCCTCATTTTCTGAGGTGCAAATGAAATGATAAAAGTTGATCAAAGGAGAGGGCAGAGAGAAAGAAAGAGGATGACTCCTCTCTCGCAGGTCCACCTTCTTTGGTGTTGCTTGAGGGATCAGAAGAAATGCCTTAACATAGGTGTGTGGGAACTATGGCTGCTAAGTATGAACTCAGTTACCTCCAGTTATAAGCTAGTGTGAGGTTCCATGGTGAGCACTTTGGACTCTGAATTCAGTGATCAGAGTTCAAGTCTCACTGGTACCTTTCTGTATAATTCCAGTGAGGTTCCTCTCTATTGCTCCATAAGCAGAATGGGGGAAATTGCCCAATCGTGGTCACAGACCCTCCATGCCACTGGCTGTATGCAATTGGAGTCCCGGACCCAGCGACCAGCAAGACCCCTCCCCTCTCAGGGTGACCCTGGGCCTCCAGGTCACAGGTCTCCACTAAAAATGCTGCCTCCCCTCAATCCTAGACCCCGAGTTTTCTTTTGTTCACGTCATTGGGCCATTGCCCTATGTCTCTTTGGAAGAAATGACCTATATGAAAAATTTTACTTCCAGGATTCCCTAATTCTTTCATCCCTTAGGACAGTGCAGTTTTTCATCTCCTGATCTTGGGTCCGGTACTAATGCGCGCGTTTCATCTTGTTTTCATGGGATCCCCTCCAACCGGCTACCAGTGGATTTCTGTTCTTGGGGTCTCTGTGGATGACAACTAGATGCTGCTCTTGTCCCAAATCCTGACACCTCCCTCCAGGGAATTGCCTCCCTTAGCCTCCTAAATCAGCCAATATTTAGATTTGAGCCTGGAATCCCAGCATCTGTGGAGAACAGAGGCTCCTGATCCCTGGCCAGCCTCCCGCAGTGAAGGGGAGAGGAGCAGAGCAGCTGGGAGGGGCAAGTCCGGGGCCCTGGGCAACCCCCTTCTTCCTGCCCAGACTCTGCTCCAAAGAGAAGTTGCCTTAGGACCAGATCAGATGGAAACTCTTGTTCTCTTCTCATCAGCAGAAAAATTTAGGCAAGAGCTCTGGAGGACTTTCCTAGCTCATAAAAATGCTGTGGTCAAGTCTCTCCAGTTTTGGAAATGCCCAAGGTTACCAAGTGTTTTGAGGGCTCACTTTGGAGCCTCTGAAAAGGACGGGTGAGGGCCCATGGGAAGGTACCTGAGGGATTCAGGAGAGAGAGGGGAAAGAGCAGACAGGAGGGAGGAGAGAAGGAGGGAGGGGGAGAAAGGGTGTGTGAGGGCCAGGAGCCAGGATTCACCCTGACAGTTCAGTGACTGCTCCCTGACCCCAAGGTTCCCACTGTGGCACCTTCCAGCAGGTGGTTTCCATCTCTTATTGATGTCCTGAGAACTTGGCTCTACAGAATGGTCCCACCCTATTTGTCTGGCATGAGTCCTGCAAAGTTTCTTTTCATCGTTTGGGGGATGAGATGGGGGTATATAGGCTTGCAAGTGACTAGGAGCTAAGTCAGGACCTTGTGGAGCCACTCAGAGTTAACTGTCAAGTAGCCTCCCTTCCCCCTTCGCTTGCAGGACGATTGCCTGCAAGACAGGGCCTGGAGGCCAGGGCACCCAAGGCCACAGAAATGCCCAGGGATGAGTCCTGGCTGGAGATGCCTTGGCTAAGCTGACTGTGCACTTCCAGGGCTCACAGGGGTCTGGCCAGGAGACTGAGCAAGGGGACCAGGGAGGTTGTGTAGCAGGCTTCTGCACAGCAAGGCAGACATTCTTCTTGGAGCCCCCAACCCAAATCAGGTCTTCCACCTCCTCTTCCTAAAGACCCTTTACTGCTGTCATTCTTTTACTGAACTACAAGTTTAGAGGACATGGATTTCAGTGCCCTCATCTGGCCAACCATCTTCAGCCGCCAATGGGCAAGGTAACCTCCCTCCCTGCCAAGACCTGACTCAGGACCTTTCCTTAAGGAGATGTCCTGTTCTTTCTTTCCCACCAGAACTGCCCTGGCCCAGGCCCCATTTCTGTCTGGTGACCAGGACAGTCCCCTCACCAGTCTCCCAGGTTGGGGAGGGCAGATCCTCCTCAGCTCCCTGCCCCTGAGAGACCCCAACCGTCTTGTGTGGCTCCGGCCCACAGAGTGATATCCATGGCCCATATCTCTCAAAACTCTCCCCTCCCACTCTGAATCCACCCTCTACTGCATGCTCCCCTCACAGAACAGACTAATTTTTGTGTGTGTGTCCTTGTTTTGCCTACCTGTACCCCAGACAGACTTTTCTGTCTTAGAACTACCTGTCCCTCTTTGGACAGTGTCTTCCTGGTACTACACATGAAGATGTCCCGCTCTCCACTGCTCAAGGAGAGAGTGCCTGACCTGAGCTGGGCCCATCAGATCCAGTACTTACCTGGAATAGGAAAAAGATGGGGAGAGTGACCAAAGATTACAAAAATCTCTGAAGCTTATCCACTTGAGAGAGAGTCCCTGAAGATACTGGCCTCTCATTCCTGCTATGTATGTCCAATGTGACTGAACTCTGAATAAAATATACAAGTTATAACAATGTAGCAATTGACCCAGCAAACGAGGACACAAACGTGTTGGAGGGTAAGGTGGTGAGAGGCGTGTTTGGGGGTGGTGGTGATGAGCAAGTATGTGAAGGAGAGGTAGTGCCTAAACTTGAAAATCAAAAAGTAATAATATCTATTTAGACATAAGGAGATAAATAACGAAATAATTGCTTCTATGTGATGAAACTCTGGGAGTACACAAGGGGACTGCTGTTTTACTAAACAAATTTTCAAGTATATATGACTTTGATAAAGTATCCAAATAAAATAATTCCTTTCCGATATAAGTATGTGTGTATATATGTATTCATTGTATTTTGAAGATAAATTTTTACACAGTCATGTTAATCGCTTTCATTTAAGGATTTGAGTTTGATGTCATGCATATAATGTGATCCCACTGTATGACTACACAAATGTTGGCAAAAGTGAGTTCAGAGGAAATGGTAGGCAAGTACTTCCCAGTTTTGACCAGAAGATGGAGAAAAAAAGAATTCTCAAAAAATGTTAAAGGTATGACATGTTATATTTTCTTTTCACAGTAATTTAGACAGAAATTAGCAAAATCAAACATGTATAAATACTTTGGTCTGACAATTCCATCTCCGGGTGTCTACGGAGAAATAGACAAGCGATGCACGACAGATACATGTGTCAGTCTGGTCCCTGCAGTTGTATTTGTAATAATACACATTGGAGCAATTTCATGGCCATCGGTTAGAGAATGTTTGAGGAATGATCCATTCATATCAAGAAGGACATTTCAAAGATCAAAGCCTGATGGAAATGCTGGAGACCATGGCGCTGATAGGAGCTCATGCGTGTTGACCAATTACTACGTGACAGGCATTGGCTCCAGGCTTTTCCTGCACTGCTCATTTAAACACTGGACAACCTAAGTGTTCTGATTTAGCCCATTGGACAGATAGAAATGGAGGCACAGAAGATTAATGTGTTTAACTTCAAACGCTGGCAGATTAGGTTTTTCATCCAGGGCCTGTGGCTTCACCATAGGTGTGATTCATGTTCTGTCATTCTCCACTTTAGGAATTTCCAGTATTCCAAATATGAGAAGCTGAGAAAACAAACAACAGACTCAAAACCCTAAAAACCAGGATACGTAAGGGTAGATGTTTGTTGGGTGTGGATTAAAAATGGACTTTTTTTGCCCCAAGCAACAAAGAGGCATCTTAGAGAATGGACAAGAGACAAGAAGAAGAGAAGCTTTAAGAGATATTTGGTCCAAGGAAGAGACTCTTCAGATGGAAGGTCACATCAGCTAGAAACATTAATATGACTGGATGGGCTCAAACCACTGACTTTTCAGTCAACATCCGACAGCACTAACCTAGTGTTCCAGAGACCCTGCTTGTTAAACAGTGAAAGCTGTTGCTCAATTGTGTCATCCATAATTGTCAAATATTGCCATTTAGTAGCACAAGGAAGTATTCTCTGTTGCCAAGCTAGAGTACCCATAACTCTTCTGTTTTGTTGAACATTCTTCCCCACCACAAACCCTCTTTAGAAGACTGGGGGCTCCTAAAGCATTGAGGCCGAGAGTCCCGTCCTTGTGCATGTTTGGGCATTGACCCAGGGCCAAGTGAGTGGGAGACCCCTCCACGCCTACGCCAGGTCCTCAGGTGACAACTGCAGTCTCTGGATCTGAAGTCATCCACTTTCCCATTCCTAGCTCACCTCACCCATCGTGAAGCCTGGTTAGTATTGCCAGAGACCCGAGTGGGCAGATGCCCACACCAAAGACAGAACCTGCTGTGTGCCCAACTTGCTGATCCCTCCATCCTTCTAGACAAAGGCTTCATAAGCCAGGGACCTTGGGTTTGCTCACAAGGCAGCCCCTCACCTAGTAGGCATTAGTTCATTATGTATATGTATATGTAGTCCTCAGGTTGTATTCCTTAAATATATATAATTTAAGGATATGTATTATATATATATATAAATATATATGTAATTCCTTAAATATATAATTTTAATACAATTTTTTTTTTTTTTTGAGACAGACTCTCACTCTGTCTCCCAGGCTGGAGTGCAGTGGCACCATCTTGACTCACTGCAAGCTCCACCTCCCAGGTTCACGCCATTCTCCTGCCTCAGCCTCCCAAGTACCTGGGACTACCGGCGCCCGCCACCACGCCAGGCTAATTTTTTTTTTTTTTGTATTTTTAGTAGAGATGGGGTTTCACCGTGTTAGCCAGGATGGTCTCGATCTTCTGACCTCATGATCCACCCACCTCGGCCTCCTAAAGTGCTAGGATTACAGGCGTGGACCACCGCGCCTGGCCAAAACAAAGTTTTTAAAAGATTCTTTTAATAAACATTTACAATAACATCAAGAAATATAAACGACATAGCAAATATGTGAAAGCCAGCCAGACTCTCAATGGCATCCAGAAATATAAACTACATAGAAAAGACGTGAAAGCCAGCCAGGCTTGGCTTCAAATCCCAGCACTTTGGAAGGCTGTGGCAGGAGGGTTGCTTGATCTCAGAAGCTTGAAACTAGCCTAGGCAACATAGTGAGCCCTCATCTCTACTGAAAAATCAGAAAAATTATGCGGGTTTAGTGGTGTGAGCCTGTAGTCCCAGGAATCAGTGGATGAGGCCCTAGGATGTCATAGGCCTGAGAATTCCATGCTGCAGTGAGCTGTGATTGTGCCACTGTACTCCAGCCTGGGTGAAAGAGTGAGATCCTGTGCAGAAACAAAAGAAGAACAAAAGAGATGTGAAAGCCTATATATTGAAGACTACCAAGTACTGCTTAGAGCAGTTAAAGACCTTTGGAATAGAAAATGTTTCTTCTTGCATTTCAAGATTGC
Source organism: Homo sapiens (assembly GCF_000001405.40). Classification (NCBI taxonomy): domain Eukaryota; kingdom Metazoa; phylum Chordata; class Mammalia; order Primates; family Hominidae; genus Homo; species Homo sapiens. The sequence continues at coordinate 1,491 of NT_187369.1, read as the reverse complement.
TTTTGTTTTGGGGGGACACACTATTTTTTAGGAATATGAAGTTCTTGTTAGGCATTCCTGTAAAAAAGGCCACTTTTTGATAGGATTGTATTGAATCTGTGGGTTGCTTTGAGTTGTATTTTTATCTTAACCATGTTACAACTTCCAACCCATGGACACAAGATGTCTGTCCATTGATTTAGGTCTTCCTGAATCTCCTCGAGCAATGTTCTGTAGTTGTCTGTGTACAAGTACTGCACCTTCTTGAACAAATTTATTCCCAGGCATATTATCCTTACAGGTGCTATTATAAATGAAATCATTGTGTCAGTTTACTTCTCAGATAGCTCATTGCCATCACAATGGATTGTTTGCTGAAAGTTTGCTGAATTCACTTATTAACTCTGATAGTGTGTGTGTGTGTGTGTGTGTGTGTGTGTGTGTGTGTGTGTCTGGTGTCTGTGTGCATGTATGTGTGTTTGCCTTTGTATGTATTGTTTGGGATTTTCTATACATAGGATCACACCATCTGCAAATTGAGATCATTTTGTTTTCTGTTCAAAAATATTTTTTCTCATGTTTATTTTTGAAAGATAATTTGGCCAGGTGTAGACTTGTAGGTGACAGTTTTTCTTTTTTTAAGTACTTTATTGCAAACTTCTTGTTTGTAAAGTTTCCTATGAGAAATCTTATGCCATCCTTATATTTAGTGCTCTGTATGTAACATGTTCTTTTCCCTTTTATTACTTTTAGGATTTCCTTTTTATCACTGGTTTTGATGGATTCGATTAAGGTGTTCCTTGTTGAAGTTTTCTGCATGTTTCTTGTTCTTGGGATAATCATATTTCTGTAATATTTGAAGTTTATGATTTCCATGGAGCTTCTAAATCTTTCATCCAGTATGTTTTAAATATCTTTGTCTCTCTTCTCCACTACCTGCCCTTCAGGGATTCCATTTAGCCCTATACTAGGGTGTTTAAAGTTTTGATGCTGATGGTCTTTATGTGTTTTCAAGTCATTTGTTAATGTGTGTTTCATTTATGTTAGTTTCAACTTCTATTCCTTCTAGTTTAATAATCTTCTCTTCTGCAATATTTAATCCAGTGCCTTCTTCCATTTCACACTGTAAATCATAGTTTTTATCTACAGAATTTGATATTTAAAAAATCTTCAACCTCTCCATTTAATTAAAATACAATTATACTAATTGCGGTAACGTCCTTTTCTTCTATTTCCAACGTGTGTGTCAATTTCAACCAGATTATTAGATTCTTCAGTATGTGTCATGTTTTCCTGCTTCTTTGACTGCTTGATATTCTTTTATTTTTATTTATTTGTTTTTGGGGGGATGGAGTTTCACTCTCGTTGCCCAGTCTGGAGTGCAATTGTGTGATCTCAGCTCACTGCAACCTCTGCCTCCCAGGTACTCAAGCGATTCTCCTGTCTCCGCCTCCCAAGTAGCTCAGATTACAGGCATGCACCATCATGCCCAGCTAAACTTTTTGTGTTTAG
>NT_187368.1:0-40745 GCF_000001405.40 Homo sapiens | reverse complement strand
GTTTTTGAGACGTAGTCTTGTTCTGTCACCCAGGCTGGAGTGCCGTGGCTCAATCTCGGCTCACTGCAACCTCTGTCTCCCAGGTTCAAGCAATGAGAACAGTAAAGAAGCTACAGTTCACATAAAGTGCACAAATCTTTAGTGCAATTTGTTTAGTTTTGATCAATGTTATCACCACCCAGCTCAAGTTATAGAAAATTGCCATCATCTGAGAAAGGCCTGTTAGAGCCCCTGTCCAGGTGATTCCCACCCTGTGTCCTCTTAGTTATCACTATTCTGATGTCTATTCCCACAGGTTACAATTGCCTGTTCTTAAAGTTCACATGAATGAATGTACATATGTTTTGTGTCTGGCCTTTTTCTCCAGTTACATTCATTATACTCATGAGATATATCCACGTAGTTTCATAGATCACTTCTCAATTTTGGGGTTATTGATTTCTTGTGCTGAATATTCTTATAACAGTCTTTGTGTGCACTTGAGATTCATGGAAGTCCTTCAATTGCTGGGTCATGACCTGAGTATAAGTTTAACATCAGTATAAATTGCCAGTCTTCTAGAATGCTTTTTCGCCAGCGATGACAGTTGAAGTGGCACCAAATTCTTGTCAGCATTTGGTGTACTAACTTTGTTAAATGTAGCTATGCTCTCAGACCAGGCTGGCCAACATGGCAAAACCCTGTCTCTACTCAAAATACAAAAATTAGCTGGGCATGGTGGCATGCACCTGTAGTCCCAGCTACTCCGGAGGGGGATGTTGCAGTGAGTCAAGATCGCACCATTGCACTCCAGCTTGCGTGACAGAATGAGACCCTGTCTCAGAAAAAAAAAAAAAGTAGCCATACACTGGTGAGTGGTTAGTGCTATCTCAGTGTGGAATTAATTTGTATTTGCCTAATGAGCAATCCTATGAAGCATATTTTCTTATGGCTTCCAGCATATAAGAAACTCTCCTTTGCAAAGGACTATTCAAATATTTTGCCCTATTTTATTTGGCTTAGCTCTATATTACTGACTTACAAAAGTTCTCTTATATATTCAAGAATTGAGTCTTGTTTTGACGTTTTTTAAATTATACTTTAAGTTTTAAGGTACATGTGCACAACGTGCAGGTTTGTTACATATGTATACATGTGCCATGTTGGTGTGCTGCACCCATTAACTCGTCATTTACATTAGGTATATCTCCTGATGCTATCCCTCCCCCTCCCCCCACCCCACAACAGTCCCCGGTGTGTGATGTTCCCCTTCCTGTGTCCAAGTGTTCTCATTGTTGAATTCCCACCTATGAGTGAGAACATGCGGCGTTTGGTTTTTTGTCCTTGCGATAGTTTGCTGAGAATGATGGTTTCCAGCTTCATCCCTGTCCCTACAAAGGACATGAACTCATCATTTTTTATGGCTGCATAGTATTCCCTGGTGTATATGTGCCACATTTTCTTAATCCAGTCTATCATTGTGGGACATTTGGGTTGGTTCCAAGTCTATGCTATTGTGAATAGTGCCGCAATAAACATACGTGTGCATGTGTCTTTATAGCAGCGTGATTTATAATCCTTTGGGTATATACCCAGTAATGGGATGGCTGGGTCAAATGGTATTTCTAGTTCTAGATCCCTGAGGAATCACCATACTGACTTCCACAATGGTTGAACTAGTTTACATTCCCACCAACAGTGTAAAAGTGTTCCTATTTCTCCACATCCTCCCCAACACCTGTTGCTTCCTGACTTTTTAATGATCACCATTCTAACAGGTGTGAGATGGTATCTCACTGTGGTTTTGATTTGCATTTCCCTGATGGCCACTGATGATGAGGATTTTTTCATGTATCTTTTGGCTGCATAAATGTCTTCTTTTGAGAAGTGTCTGTTCATATCCTTCGCCCACTTGTTGATGGGGTTGTTTGTTCTTTTCTTGTAAATTTGTTTGAGTTCTTTGTAGATTCTGATGAAACTACAGATGAGTAGATTGCAAAAATTTTCTCCCATTCTGTAGGTTGCCTGTTCACTCTAATGACAGTTTCTTTTGCTGTGCAGAAGCCCTTAAGTTTAATTAGATCCCATTTGTCAATTTTGGCTTTTGTTGCCATTGCTTTCGGTGTTTTAGACATGAAGTACTTGCCCATGCCTATGTCCTGAATGGTATTGCCTAGGTTTTCTTCTAGGCTTTTTATGGTTTTAGGTCTGACATTTAAGTCTTTAATCCATCTTGAATTAATTTTTGTATAAGGTGTAAGGAAAGGATCCAGTTTCAGCTTTCAACATATGGCTAGCCAGTTTTCCCAGCACCATTTATTAAATAGGGAATCCTTTCCCCATTTCTTGTTTTTGTCAGGTTTGTCAAAGATCAGATAGTTGTAGATGTGTGGCATTATTTCTGAGGGCTCTGTTCTCCTCCATTGGTCTATATCTCTGTTTTGGTACCAGTACCATGCTGTTTTGGTTACTGTAGCCTTGTAGTATAGTTTGAAGTCAGGTAGCGTGATGCCTCCAGCTTTGTTCTTTTGGCTTAGGATTGACATGGCGATGCGGGCTCTCTTTTGGTTCCATATGAACTTTAAAGTAGTTTTTTCCAATTCTGTGAAGAAAGTCATTGGTAGCTTGATGGGGATGGCATGGAATCTATAAATTACCTTGGGCAGTATGACCATTTTCCTGATAGTGATTCTTCCTACCCATGAGCGTGGAATGTTCTTCCATTTGTTTGTATCCTCTTTTATTTTGTTGAGCAGTGTTTTGTAGTTCTCCTTGAAGAGGTCCTTCACATCCCTTGTAAGTTGGATTCCTAGGTATTTTATTCTCTTTGAAGCAATTGTGAATGGGAGTTCACTCATGATTTGGCTCTCTGTTTGTCTGTTATTGGTGTATAAGAATGCTTGTGATCTTTGCACAAGAATTTTGTATGCTGAGGAGTCATTTTTAAAATAAATATATTGCAAATGAATTTTCCCAGTCAGTGAAAAGTCTGACTGAAAGCTGTCAACTGAAAAATCACACAATTTATAAATTTAGAAGGGAGATTTTATTTTTTATAAATGGTTACAGCCTGCAAGGTGGCCATTCCGACAGACAGGGAGGCATACCCTCTTGCTGCTGAAACCTGAAAAGTACGTTTCCAGGGAGGGGAGGGGGGAACAGGGATTTATGTTGATGTGGTGGGCCACATATACATATTCAACAGGGAATAGGAGGAGCTCTGAATATTCATGAAGGGATCCTGCTGCATGCATGCTGAGTAAACATGCCTGTTACATGCAACCCATGTTCACTTTGGAGTGGAGACAACATTTAAATACGTTATAATTAGGCCCTATGCTTCAAAAGGGGAAGCAGGGGCACAAAGGCAGTCAAGTGTACAGCCTCTGTAAACCGTCCAGAACCCGTCCACAGCCAGTGCTCTCTTATCAAGGGGAAGTTACTGAAATCAGTCCCTTGTCCAATCAAAGCTGTAGTTATGGCTTGTGTAGGGAGGGCTCAGTCAGTTTATGGTAATGGGTGAGCTGCAAGTGCTTCAGCATTGCTTATCTCAAGGCCAGTGCTTGCTTAGCTAGAGAAAAAAAGGAAGAAGAAAAAAACCTGTGGCAATTGGAACATAGTTTACTCTTTAAGTTGAGGGGCGCATGACTCCACCTTGCCTGGCGTGGCCTTAGGTCTCGTTTATCATACCGTATCTTCCTACTGCAAGGAGTCTGTTCTGTCAGCCTTAGGATCTCTATTTTAACAATAATGCTGGTCAGTTGTGTCTAAACCACAAAGGGAGAGAGTATAAGGAGAGGTGTCTGAGATTCCAACTACTGGGCAGGAACTCAGTATTTAAGACTTCTCTGGGGTCTCCTTGGCCAAGAAGCAGTCTGTCCAGTTGGTTGAGTGGCTTTGGATTTTAATTTTAGTTCTCAAAGCATTTAATTTGATGAAATTTTGCCATATTTTTTCTTTATTTTTAAAGCTTGTTATGTTCTATAAGAAATCTTTCTACTCAGGATAGTGAATGTATTCTCTTAATTTTATCTCTCTATGAGTTCCAGCGTTTTAGTTTTAATTTTTAAATTGATGACATCTAAAATTCTACTCCTAACCAAAACATTCCTGGGGGTGACCAAGGACAACTCCAAAAATCTTCCATAAATGGAAGTAAGACTTACTCCTTGAAGAACTTACTGGGATCTCGGCCTGCAGGGCACAGTGGCTTTAGTGCACCTCTGCTCTTAAGACTATTCAGAAATTGTCTTTGTGAACCCATCAGGCTGTTTCAAAATCAGCAATTTAGGGCTTGCTTGCAACATGCAGTTATGCAGCAGCTGTTTTGTGGATCTGGTGAGTGCCTGCACGCATAGTTCCCCGGGAATTTTCTGAATTTGAATTCTCATGGTATTTCAAGTGGCTCAGTTGTCTCTTTCTTTTCTTTTCTTTTTTTTTGAGTCAGAGTCTTGCTCTGTCACCCAGGCTGGAGTGCAGTGGCTGGAGTGCAGTGGCGCGATCTCAGATCACTGCAAGCTCCGCCTCCCGGGTTCACGCCATTCTCCTGCCTCTGCCTCCCCAGTAGCTGGGACTACAGGCACCCGCCACCACGCCCGGCTACTTTTTTGTATTTTTAGTAGAGACGAGGTTTTACCGTGGTCTTCATCTGACCTCGTGATCCGCCCGCCTCGGTCTCCCAAAGTGTTGGGATTACAGGCGTGAGCCACCGCGCCCGGCCAGTTGTCTCTTTCTTTTGCCTACTGCCACACACGTACCACCAAATCCTGCACTCCAAGCTGCTTCTACACCCTGGACTCCCAACCTCCAGTTAGACAATCCACATCTTCCCACACCTGCCTCAGGCTCCATCAGGCTACTGTGCCTCCTGCAGCAACCAGGCCAGGGGGAATCTGGATTCCTATTACACTTCTGAGGAAGGTGGTCAGGGAGTGTGGAGGATGTGGGTGGGAGGGGGTGAGGTTGAGGGCAGGAGTACACTGTGGTCTTCTGTCTTCTACCTCATTGGCCCAGGTGCTGCTCTCCCTCCGGTTGTCTGCTTTCAGCCCTGCCTGGGAAATCAGGCCGGCGCCCTGATCTTCCTGACTCTCATTCTGTGAGGAACCTGAACGGATGAGCCATCGCTCTTGTCCCACACGTTCTGTCCAAAAGGTGCCCTCCTCTCTGCTTGCTCGGGGGCCTGCCCTCTGAGCTCTGGCACTCAGGCTGGGATGCCGCCCAGTACAGAGGCTCTGCAGCCCTGCAGGGGTCTGACTGTTCCACACCAGCAGGATAAAGGCCACAGGGCATGCTGTGGTGGAAAAGCATTCAGAGGTGTGGGCTGAAGGCCTCTCTTTCCACAGTCCCTTTGAAGACACCATGGAAGTAGGCACCCCCTTGACAGACAAGGTGGCCCAAGGCTTGGCTTCACATGCAGGCTCTTGGGTCCCAGCGGGTCCTCTCTGTGCCTGGTATAGCCAACTGCTTCATGCATCTTACCCGGTTTCCTCTCCTCCACAACCCAAGCTCCTCCTCGACCCCCTTGCTCAGCTGTCCTCAGGACAGCAAGATCCCCAGCCCTTGGAAAAGCCCATCTCTAGTGCTTGGGGAGGGAGTTGGGTTCAGGTGGCCTAACCACAGAAGAACAGAGAACCTGAGGCAGGAGGAAATCCCTTCCCTTGCTGGGTCTCTTGGCACAGCCCATCCAGGGGTCTGGGTCAGGGTCCAGGTATACTCTACCCTCCTTGAGGACCTGGGTTTTCAGGCCCCCGAGGTTGGTCAATGTGGAGTCTTTCCCACTGTTCATCTGGGAACTGAAGGAATATCCCATGGGGCCCTCTCTTACTCATTAGAGACACCCAGAACATACTCCATCCAGCAGAAACTGGGTGCAGTGTACCAGACCACTATAATTATAATTGCAGGGTGTGGAGGTCAGATACGTTTTGTGGGTATTTTCTCTCTTTCTGTGGCTTGCTTGCCTTTTCGCTTTCTTAGTGGTATCTTTTGATGAGAAGGTGTGGCTAATGTTGATGAAGTCTCATTTATCATGTCTTTCTTATATATGTATTTTTTCTGTGTCCTGCTTGTTGGTAGGCTAATCTTTGCCTGCCAACAAGTCACAAAGTATCCTTGAAATGCTTTATATCTTTAACTTTTAAGTAATGCGGCTGAAATTACTTTTGTGTGTAGTGTGAGGGAGAATAACATTGTTGGTCTCCCCACATCCATATAGAAGTTCATTAATTGAAATGACTTATTTTCTTTTATTGAACTGCTTTTATTGAAAACCCATTTATTGACCGTATAGCTGTGGATCAATTTCAGGTCTTCTAACTCAGGCTGTTTATCCGTTTGTCACTCCTGATGCCTTGTGTCTAATAGCTTATAGTAAACCTTAAAGTCAGATAGTACAAGTCCTTGTTCTTTTCCACACATTGCAATAAATTTTGAAATAGATAATAACTCATGAAACCATCACACACATCAGGATATGCTGTCACTTCATCCCTTTCTGACATGGTTTGGCCGTGCCCTCACCCAAATCTCAACTTGAATTGTATCTCCCAGAATTCCCATGTGTTGTGGGAGGGACTTAGGAGGAGGTAATTGAATCATGGGGGCGGGTCTTTCCTGTGCTATTCTCCTGATATCGAGTAAGTCTCACTATCTGATGGGTTTCTCAGGGGGTTCTGCTTTGGCTTCTTCCTCATTTTCTCTTGCTGCTGCCTTGTAAGAAGTGCCTTTTGCCTCCCGCCATGATTCTGAGGCCTCCCCAGTCATATGGAAATGTAAGTCCAATTAAACCTCTTTTTGGTCCTGGACTCTGTTATGTATTTGTCAGCAGCATGAAAACGGACTAATACACTCTCATTTCTGAGTGGGACACATGCTGTCACTCACATATGCTGGTTGCTGACTTGTGACGGAAGATTCTCTATTGTACCCTCTGGGGACAATACATCTCCAGTTGCCTGCAGGGAGGATGAACATGCAAAAAATCCACAACACTCAGCAAAGAGTCTGGATTTAGTCCCATTAGTCTGAATGGGACTAATGCCCTTATAAAAGGGACCCTGGGGAGCTCTCTCGCCCTCTTTCTGCCCCCTGAGGATACAATGAGAAGGTGGCAGTCTACAACCAGACCAAAGGTCCTCACTGTAACCCTACCACGTCGGCACCTTGATCTCGGACTTCCAACCTCCAGAACTGTGAGAAATCAATTTCTGTTGTGAATCAGCCACCCAGTTTATGGTACATTGTTATAGAAGCCCGAACTAAGACAGAGATGAAGTCCCGTGCAGGGTCTCTAATTTGCTAAGCTGGTCATCAGGCGGGATATTGCCAGTCAGAAACAGGAAGAGCTGACATTTTGTGTATATGAAAGAAGATAGTGGACAGGCCCATTGTGTCGGCTTTGTCCGCCTTGGCAAACTGGAGACGTAAACTCGATTCACCATCGCCAGCCACGGGAGGACTGGGAGGACCTCCAGAGGAGGTTAGGTCGACTTCATGGTAACTTTAGATCCGGAAACCTCCCAGGATTTTTCTTGTCTTCCCTTTGATCTCTCTTCCACCTACCCAACAGGACAGGACTCGCCGCCTTTCTTTCCCGGCAGAAAGGGGTCCGTTGCGGACAAGACCAAAGTGAGCAGCTGGTTTCCCCTACTTGTCCTTCCGGGCCTGGGCGTCTCGGGAACTCAGGCTGACCCGACACCTAACTCCTGGCGAGTGGGACCACCAGGAGCCTGGAAGAGCGCGCGCACCGAGATGGAAGTTGGGCGCCGGGGTCGAGAACCGCGGTCAAACCCTCTTCTTCCAGGGGCACCGCGCACCTGCCCCCGGGGATGCCGAAGGAAGTGACCCATAAAGCTTCTCTGCAACCGAAAGAGGCCTGAAGCTCCAGGAGGGCCGAGAGGAGCCTCGTTGAGCAAACCCAGCCCTCTGCCTGGCTGGCCCTGGTCAACAGGCTCGGAAGAGGCCGATTTGGAGGACAGAACGGAAGAAAAGACCTAAAGGTTTCGAATCTCATGACGCAGAGATGTTAAAAATCTCCAATCCTAAGGTCCGACTGTGCGGGGGAGCGAGGGGGTCTCAAGCTGGATCGACCCCTGAGCCTTCATCTGGAGAGTCCTCTGCACAAGCTCAGACAGCAGGACAACGCGCATCAGTGGTTCTCAAGAGGGGGCAACTTCGCCCTTACACGCCTCTCCCATCCCCGCTGGGACACTAGGTCACGAATGGGGGAAGCGGGGAGGGAGAATGCTAACCCCCTGGCATGTATCTAGTCAGCGGAGGCGACGGCTGCTGCTAAACACCTTACAATCCACGGGAGGGCCCCTCCCCTACCCCGAAGTAGCTATTCCGCAGAGGTGGAGAGACTCGCGTGTAGCTCAATGCCCACGCACTTAGCCGATGGGAAATCACGAATTGATGACCAGTTGGCTCTTGGATGTGAGGAAAAATCTCCAGAGTCAGAGGGAACTCTCGAAGTTTTGCCCGGAGCAAACGGAAGGGTGGCGTTGCCATCGCCTAAGATGGGAAAATGGCAGGTGTCACAGGTTGCAGGGGAAGGTCGGAGACCAGCTGAGGGCCCCGGAGCCTTCCTGGAAAGAGTTTCCCATCCAGCCCGCCTCGGTTTCCGCATCCGTCTTATTCCTTATGACGTTGAGGGTGCTGGCGTCTGGGTCCTTTATGATGCAGAGGGTGCCCCCGTCTCACCCCGGGCGCCTCCGCGCTCCCGCCTCCTCCTGGCAACCTGGTGCGCGGCTCCGGATCTGGCGACCCACGACCGGCTGGTCACTTGCTGCCACCTCGCAAAGGCGCATCTCTAGTCCAGTGGTGAGCTGCGGCCGGGTCGCTGTAACTCGCTCCAGGACTCGGGACTCGTGGCCTTGGTGTCCCTCGCGGAGCCCTCGGTGTGTCGCCTGCAGGCTCTTTTTTTGAAGAAAGCAGGGAGGGAATGGCCTTGTGAGAGACTCCAGGAGCAAAGAGCGACCCTCACAAGGCCCAAGTCCTCCCAGAGCTCAGGGAAGCTGTGGCTTCTGACGGAAGAAGGGAGAGAAAGCTCCCTCCTGTGTGTCCCTGGTGGTCTAGTGGCTAGGATTCGGCGCTTTCACCGCTGCGGCCCGGGTTCGATTCCCGGTCAGGGAATCGTTTTACACTGGCCGCCCTCCCGCAGGAATCTTCCTTCACTACGCTGTCAGCCGGCCTGCTCCAAGAGCCAGAAGCAGAACAGTCTCCTCAGCGGGGTCAAAGACGGGCGAAGGAGGGCAAGTGCTTGTGGACCACCTCTCACGACACACCGTTCCTATTTATCTCCGTGTCCGTCATCCGCGGGAGCAGCTTTAGAGAGCGACTGAGCATCTCGGTCCGGTGTACACAGCCCGGCAGAGATGCCAGCCCCCGTGGAGCTGCACCCAATAAGCCCACCTTCTTTCCCGTCGCCACCCCGGAGACGCCCATCGGGCTGAGCTGCGAATAACTAAGAGAGAGGCCAAGCCAAGTCGTGGCGTTTGTGGCAGCCCCGGACACGGGCACCAGCCAGTCAGCGGAGCCTCCTCACCTCCGTTGCCAGCGAAGGCGCTCGTTAGGCCTTGGGAAGAGGCGACCGGAGGCGATGCCCGCGAATTTGTTAGGGGGGTAAGTAGCGGGTGAGGTCCTCGACGGCGGTCCCGTTTGCTGATTGAGCGGTAGAGGGAGGCGATGTTCGCTGACCCAACAAGGACAGCAGGTGGAGTAGGCACAGATGGAAAACTGCTGCCGGTGCCCTAAGCAGAAGGCAGGTGGAAAAATCAGCACTAGGACGTCGAAGCGATGGTACCACAGTCAAATCCCACGACGTCTACACTCTACCAAGCACTTGCGCACGCTCCCCCTTTTCCATTCAGTACTCCCAAGAGGGGTTCGGAAGAACCCCGAGTCCACTGTAAGCTCAGGGGAGAGCGGGAGCCAGGGAGGTGAAGTGCGCAGACTCGGCAGAGGCGGCGGGCAGAACCGCTGGGGGGTGAGAGGGCGCGGTGGCTGCGGGGCGGGAGCCGCTGCTGAGAGGCGGCCTGGGTTGTCTTGTGGGGTGACTGTCGGTGGAATCTTTGGTGGAGAGTGGTTTGGAAGAATGGCGAGGGGCGGCAGTGGGGAGGGTGGTGACCCTGAGCGACCCGCCAGGGCGAGGAGGCTGTGCTGTCCCTGCAGGCCATGTGCTCATTTCCACTTTACCTGGCAGGGGAGAGACCGTGGTCACGAAGGGGGTTCTCCCAGAGTGAAGCTTCTTCATCGCACTCTAGAGTTGCTGATTCCTGTGATTTCCTCCATGTGGGAAACGGTGTTTGTGCTAGAAGAGGCTGCGCTCTTTACCTGACATAAGGGGGTTCAAGACTGACATCGCCTCACGCCTACCCGAAAACGTTTACATGGCTTGTCTCTTTTTTTTTCTGTCCTAAAGTCGCCTCATCTTCACATCCCCTCATTTTTTCTTCCACACTCGAGAGTGTCTCTCTCTCTCATTAAAAGCTCCACCAAATATTTGAAATATCTCAACCAGAAAGACTGCAATAAATACATTATTTCATTCGTGGAAGCTACAGACCAGCTAGGTTGAGAGTTGCTTGATATTTTCTGCTAAACGGTGAGGCATAGAGCACTTGGAAGGTTTCTCTTTGGGCCACTGTTTGTGTACTCTTGGGTTTCCTTCTTTTCCCCAGACAGTATGGCGCTGTGGGGCCAGCGGTAAACCCTGCTTTCCGGCTTTCTGGCTGCAGATAAAGGCCGCAGCTGCTGCAGGAATCAAAAGCAAACCAAAAGACACGTGGGTTCGCCCCAGTGGGTCCAAGATAGAGTCTGACTGTACCAGGATTCGGATTAGAACAGAGGTTGCTGCAGGCACAATGCAGACTACTAACCACTAGAGAATCCCAAGGCGCCCCACACCTACTGCCCATCGTTTTGCTTCCCCACCCCTCTATTATTTATTTATATATATTTTTTGAGAGACAGAATTTCGCATTGTTGCCCAGGCTGGAGGTCAGTGGCACGATCTCGGCTCACTGCTACCTCCGCCTCTTAGGTTCAAGCGATTCTCCTGTCTCAGCCTCCTGAGTAGCTGAGACTACAAGCGTGCGCCACCACGCCCAGCTAATTTTTGTATTTGTAGTAGAGACGGGCTTTCACCATGTTGGCCCCGCTGGTCTCGAACTCCTGACTTCAAGTGAGTGATCCAGCCACCTCGGCCTCCCAAGTGCTGGGATTACAGGCGTGAGCCACTGCCCCTGGTCCCCCGATTTTATTTTTATTAATGTAAAAACATTATGCGATTTTTACTTCTTTATTCTTGGGCAGCTACAGGTTCTTGTGATTTTCTCTCACATCTTCTCCCCATTTCCCCCTCTCCATTCTGATACATGTCCCATCTTCTCTGCATCCAGCCGGTGCCCTCTGCACGGGCATCCTGGGCTGTCCCATTGTCTAGTCCTGGTCTCCCCTGCTTCTCCCTCCTCCTTTTCACGTTTTCCCTTTTGACTCCCCTGCCTCTTTCCCGCTCCCGCCCCACCGACCCCATCTACTGAAGCCGAGTTGAGTGAAGGGAGAGCAAGCGGAGCAGATGACTGCATGAAGGCGGCGCAAAAGAACAGAAAGAGCTACCGTGAGAGCCGTCGGGGAGTTCAGCTTCCCTTGGGCCCCACTTGGCTCAGGCTGGGGTCGCAGATCCAGGCATTTCCAGAGGCACTGGCTTCTGAAGCAGGCGAGGGTGAACGCAGGGTGAAGGCCATTCGGCCGCCCTTCTGGCTTCAGAGTCACGCAATGCACGCGTTTCTAACGTGCAGCAAGACGATTAGTCGACTCAGCCTCTCCGGTTTTCCGAAGCTTTGTAGTCTGCACAGTTGTCCCGCAGAAAGCGAATGGCAACCCCTAGGGTTTTGTGATTGCTTAATGTATATAGAGATGAAAATAGACAATTGACGTTGTCTCTGTGGCGCAGTCGGTTAGCGCGTTCGGCTGTTAACCGGAAGGTTGGTGGTTCGAGACCACCCAAGGACGTGATTTTAAATGTTGGTGGTTGTGGCCGGGTGCAGTGCCTCACGCCTATTAATCCCAACACTTTGATAGGCCGACGTAGGGGAAGCCTCCACTGAGCTCAGAAGTTCAAGACCAGTGAGAATCCCATCTCATTTAAAAAAAAAAAAAATTGCAGCTGTATCTATCTCCTCAGACCTATCACTGTATTTAAAAGTGAAAGACTGTTCCCTTGTGTCTTGTGCATCCCATGAGGACAGACAGCAGAAGGTCCCCCTTCGAGCCTCCTAGAAAATAAGATCTCTGCAGCACAAACTAGCTTGTATGTATGGGAAACAAAGTATTTGAAGACACAAACTTCAAAAATTCTGCCCTGCTTTCCACAAAAATTAACCCATCACAGTCTGCCTTCAAGTGGCATCATACCTCTTCACATGACTCCTCTCCCTGCCTTTATGCTAGTGTCATGCATTTTACTTTACACCTGTTATAAACCTTACAATCCATCTCTATTACTTTTGTTTCAAGAGTCAGATGTGTTTTTGTTTGTTTGTTTTTGGGTTTTTTTGTTGTTGGTGGTGGTGTTTTTAAGACGAGTCTTACTCTATCGGACAGGCTGGAGTGCAGTGGCACAGTCTTGGCTTACGGCAACCTCTGCTTTCTGGATTCGAGTCATTCTTCTGACTCAGACTCCTGAGTAGCAGAGATTACAAGCTTGGGCCACCACATCTGACTAATTTTTGAATTTTTCGTAGAGAGGAAGGTTCACCATATTGGCCAGGCTGGTCTCGAACTCCTGACCTCAAGTGATCCGCCTTCCTCGGCCTCCCAAAGTGCCGGGATTCCAGGCGTGAGCCATCGTGCCCGGCTAAACAGTCAGATGTTAAAATTACATATTTGCCTTTGTAGATGTCATTTCTAGTGTCTTTTTTTTTTCATCCAGATTTTCATCCCGTGTCAGTTTCCTTCTGCCTGGAGGACTCCTTTAACTTGTCTATTAGGTGTCTTAAACTTGCACTATCATTCACTGATGCTCTGTTCATTAAAGAAAAAAAAAATTGTTGGCCGGGTGCGGTGGCTCACGTCTGTAATCCCAGCAATTTGGGAGGCCGAGGCGGGTGGATCAGGAGGTCAGGAGATCCAGACCATCCTGGCTAACACAGTGAAACCCCGTCTCTACTAAGAATACAAAAAATTAGCTGGCTGTGGTGGTGGGCGCCTGTAGTCCCAGCTACTCAGGAGGCTGAGGTGGGAGCATGGTGTGAACCCAGGAGTCGGAGCTTGGAACCTGTCAAAAGGCATTCTTAGCCTTAAAAGAAAAGCCAGGGACATCCCTTGCCTCAGGACTCTCGGACTTAGAAAAACCTTTCACCCTCTATGTGGATGAATAACAAGGGACAGCTTTGGATTTTCTAACTCAAAGACTGAGGAATTACTTTGGACCAGTGGCTTATTTCTCTAAACAGCTAGACCAGGTGGCAGCTGGGTGACCAGGAAGCTTGAGATCTGTGGCTACCATCACTCTATTGTTAGAAAAAACCACTAAGTTTACCTTGGGACAACAATTAGATGCCATACCACCCCACCCCCACCCCCTGCCACCCCATGAAGTACAGTACAGAGGGTCCTAGAGGCAAAAGTACACCAATGGCTAACAGAGGGCCAGTTACTTAAATATCAGACCCTTCTGCTTGACACCCGAGATGTTACCCTGAAAATATGCTGATTTTTAAACCCTGCTACTCTGTTGCTGCACCTCACGTCTCAAGAAAGAGCTCCCAAACTCATTGACTCCTGTGTGGAAACCACGGAAGAGCTCTACTCTAGAAGGCCCAACCTTGAAGACAAGCTCTTGTCTAACCCAAATGTTGAGTGCTTTAGAGATGGAAATAGCTATATTCATGAGGGAGTAAGAAAGGAAGCTTAGCCAACAAGAAATCATTGAGGCCAAGGGTTTACCTTCTCAGACTTCTGCTCAAAAAGCAGAATTAGCTGCTCTAATTAGGGCCTTCCAACCATGAAAAGACTTAAGCTGGGCACGGTGGCTCACCCCTGTAATCCCAGCACTTTGGGAGGCCAAGGTGGGTGGATCACCTGAGGTTGGGAGTTCGAGACCGGCCTAGCCAACATGGCGAAACCCCGTCTCTACTAAAAATACAAAAATTAGCCAGGTGTGGTGGGGGGTGCCTGTAATCCCAGCTACTTGGGAGGCTGGGACATGAGAATCCCCGAGTTTGCAGTGAGCTGAGATCATGCCACTGCACTCCAGCCTGGGCGACACAGCAAGACTCCGTTTCAAAAAAAGAAGAAGAAAACCAAAACCCTCAAGAGTCAATGTGTTGACTGACTCTAAATGTGGGTTCCTGGTGCTCCATGCTCATGCAGCCATAGGGAAGGAAAGGGAACTATCAAAAGCCAAGGGATGCCCCATACAACTTTACTCAGATCTTGGAACTTTTAGATGCTGTCCAACTCCCAAAGAAATAACAATTACTCACTGCAGGGGACACCAGAAGGGAGACACTTTTATTATTAGAGGAAATTCCCTGGTGGAAAGAGCAGCTAAGGCCACAACTAAGGAAACCCTGGTATTTCAAGCTGCTGCGCTACTACCAGGTACTGCATCCGTGTCAGTGACACCATACTATACCCCTAAGGAAATTAAAGGGACTGAGTAAAAGGCTTCCAGGGAGACCCTCTGGATGGTTGGTAGAAAAGAACAAACTCTATTCCTGAGGCTGACAGATGGGAAATAATTAAACATTTTCATGATTCCTCACATTTGGGACGGGATTTTCCATTCAAATTAGTTTCCTAAATATTCTTCGGGAAGGGACTGTTCTAAACTATAAAAAGGGTTACCACTCAGGAAGCCACCCCATACCCCGATCCCTGCTTAAACCTGTACAACACCAAGGAACATACCATGGTGAAGACTGGCAGACAGACTTAACCCAGATGCCACCTTACAGGGAACTACAAGATTTGCTAGTATTTATAGGCACTTTCAACAGGTGGATAGAAGCTTTCCCCACAAGGACAGGAAAAGTACTGGAAGTGTCTAAATTCTTAAAGAAATCATTCCAAGATTTGGATTACCAAAAGGTTTGCAAGGTGACAACTGACCTCACTTCACAGCTAAGGTGACCCAGTGAGGTCATGCCTCAGCCTTAGGCATTACCTATCTTCATTCCTCATGGAGATCTCAGTCTTCAAATAACATGGAAAGCCAATCGTGACATTAGCAAAAGTCTTTCAGTTTGGGGGCTTGCCTGCCCTGCTTCACTATCATTGTTTCCTTGGGTTTCCCAGGAATGTACACGTGTGAGACTGCCGGCCTGCTTATAGATCCGTTTCCCTGCAAGGAAACAGGAATATGTTGCCTGTGGCTTCCAGAGTTGGAGATACATGTAGTTGCACCACTGAGGGCTAACATTTAATTTTGGAATCAAGTGATGCATTCAGACTGGTTGCTATCATTCTGTGGTATATATTTAGTGAACACATTCATGATTGAGTTTCCTGCTTTTAGCTGGAGCAAGAAAGTTTTATAATTGTGATTTGTATGAAAAAATCATAGGCAAGGGAATGGATGTAAAATAAACTTTATTGTCAGAGGTTTCTAAAGGCTCATCCTTCAAGGAAAATGGACATATGCTGAAGAGCTGATAAACTGTCTACAGCAGTGTTATTCTAACCTAATCTTGATTCCAAGTTCTTGCCATTTTCCTCCAGCTGCTGTTGACTCCAGTTATATATAGGATGGGGGAAAGGGGATTATCTATGAATGTAGGCATCACTTTCTCTTGGGCAGTTATCACATTGGCAGACTGAAGGGATGTGATTTCTACAATCAAACTATCCATTTGGAGTACAAATCTGGAGTGGCTGTAAAATTCGGTTCTCAGAGATGAACTTGCAGATTCGGACTTTCAATTGTTCTGTTGTTTTAGTTTTTCTCATCAACTGGGGAACTGTTTGTGACTAAGCTTTGTTAAAAGTAGAGAAGAGCTTTTCATAGTTCCAACATTAGTTGTTACCTGAAACAAACAAAAACACACACAGAGACAATTAAACAGTAATCTTTGGTGAGGTCTTGCTGATACCTGAGGCTGGAGTGAGAGCTGAGTGGTGATACAGCTCATGTGAGTGATCCAGATTGCGCACTCCTTATGAGACTGTAACTGATGCCTGATGACCTGAGGTGGAACAGTTTCATCTGGAAAACATCCACCACCCCCTTCCATGGAAAAATTGTCTTCCATGAAACCAGTCCCTGGTGACAAAAAGGTTGAGGACAGCCAAAAAGGCTGCTTTAAATGATAACCTTCCCCAAAACTAAATTACCCCTGTAAAATGGATGAAAGGCCACCAAGTTAGAAGGATGAAAGGGGCCTGATTTCTACTAAGATGTATGCCTCGTTAAATAATTACCAGCCATTATTCCAGAAGTCACAAGATTGGCAGCTTCCCCAATTACTGCTGTGAAGAACATCACTATTGTAGAACCTAAGATTGGCCTCTTGAGATGTCTTTTCAGGCTTTTGCATTTCTGACTGCTGGAAGGCACCATCTGGCCCGAAAATCAACCAGTCCCTTAGCCCCCACCCAGAAGCTGACTCCATGCAGGAGGACCATTTTCCACGCCCCTGTGATTTCATCCCCAACAATCAGCACCACGCAAGCCCTAGCCCCCTCCCCACCAAACTATCTTTGAAAAACCCCTTACCTCCAAGCCTTCAGTGAGATTGCTTTGAGTAATAACTCTGTCTCCCACATGTCGTGGCTGGCCTGTGTCAATGAAACTCTTGCCTGCAGTGCCATGGTCTCCATGAATTGAATTTTTGTGTACATTGGTCAGGAAGAACCCATCAGGCGGTTACATCTGCAGGATGGTGCCAGTTCTTTCCACAAAGGCTGGTCAGATACCCAGAAAGCATTTCTCCACTACTACCTGGACAATGTGTCTCCCTGTCAATCTCCAGGGAATGGGGCCTGGATCAAGTATTTAGTATTCAGCAGTTACTACACTGTCACCTAATCCCTCATTTTCAATATTTTGCCATGCTTCCAGTGGCCTAACTGGCCACCATGCCACAGAATCTTTACTTTAGGGTCTCCAAGGAGAACTCTCCACTCGATGTTTTGTGATTTGAGCAATGGAATAGAATCTGATACTGGTGGGCTGGGGGAGGTCCCTGGACACTGGTGGGATCTCGACCCCAGCCGTGGTGTCCAGGCTCTTGACACCATCGCGAGAACAAAGTCAAAGATGAGTCAGCAGATAGTGAAAGAAGAGATTTATTGCAAAGCAAAAAGTACACACTCAAGAAAGGGGAGCTTGGGCATACCCAAGAGAGAATAATGGGTTCTGGGGTTTCATCTTGATGGGTTTCTTTAACCAAGGAGTGGAATGTTCACGAAAATTCCTGGGTAAAGGTGGAGATTTCTTGGAACTGTGGTGCCATTTGTACATCAAACACTGGTCTCAGAACTGTCATGGCACTGGCGGGTGTGTGATTTAGTATGTTAATGAGCATATAATGAGGGCCTAGGTAAAACCTCCATCAAATCCAGCACCACGTTGGGTCCACTCAGCCTTAGCCAGCTTGGTCCACACCCTGGTTTTTCAGCGTCTTAACAGCCCACAGCCTCAAGTCATGTAAATCTGCTGCCTAGAATTTGTTATCCTGTGACCACCCTGTAGTATTCCTGTCTGAAATCTACTTGTAAATATTCAAATGGTCTTTCACTTGGGCATTCCAACTTTGCTTACTTCACAGTGTTTCCTGCGTAATATATAAGAAAAGATGATCCAGACATTTGTTAAACATCTCAAATAAGATGTAGCCCAGGTATTTGTGTCAAATTTGGATTATTTTGGTTTCGTCTTTGCAGAATATAAAAAACTAACATGAGGTAAGCACTAAGGTGTGGAGATGGCTGTGCAAGAGATGACAAAGTCCAGCACCACGCTTGAGAGTGTCCAATCATCTCTTCTGGGACAGCATATTTTTCTACAATACGGATTTTTGCAAAAAAACAACATCAAAAAAAAAAAAAACCTACAAGATTCATGAAACTGGACAACTGTCTTTATAACATTACCAGTGATAAAACCAGTAAGGAAGGCTGGTTTGCAGTCATCTGAGCAGCCTCTTTACTTTCATAAATATGGTTTCTCTCTGATATTAAACGGCTTCCAATTGCAAGCGGAATGCTGCATCACAAGGATAAGGATGTGAAGAGAACCGGTTTCTTTTGTAATCCGAAACATTCTAGTCTGCGAATTAAAAGCCATTATTTGAAGAAGGATGCCCCGGCTCCATCTGGCCACCGAAAGGTTGCTCCTTAACACAGGCTAAGGACCAGCTTCTTTGGGAGAGAACAGACGCAGGGGCGGGAGGGAAAAAGGGAGAGGCAGACGTCACTTCCCCTTGGCGGCTCTGGCAGCAGATTGGTCGGTTGAGTGGCAGAAAGGCAGACGGGGACTGGGCAAGGCACTGTCGGTGACATCACGGACAGGGCGACTTCTATGTAGATGAGGCAGCGCAGAGGCTGCTGCTTCGCCACTTGCTGCTTCACCACGAAGGAGTTCCCGTGCCCTGGGAGCGGGTTCAGGACCGCTGATCGGAAGTGAGAATCCCAGCTGTGTGTCAGGGCTGGAAAGGGCTCGGGAGTGCGCGGGGCAAGTGACCGTGTGTGTAAAGAGTGAGGCGTATGAGGCTGTGTCGGGGCAGAGGCCCAAGCTCTCATACTTACCTGGCAGGGGAGATACCATGATCACGAAGGTGGTTTTCCCAGGGCGAGGCTTATCCATTGCACTCCGGATGTGCTGACCCCTGCGATTTCCCCAAATGTGGGAAACTCGACTGCATAATTTGTGGTAGTGGGGGACTGCGTTCGCGCTTTCCCCTGACTTTCTGGAGTTTCAAAAACAGACTGTACGCCAAGGGTCATATCTTTTCTTGTATTGGTTTGTGTCTTGGTTGGCGTCTTAGGTGTTAATCCTACAGTAGACGGTTGGGGAATAGGAAGTAACATGTGGCCTGCACGCCATAGGAGAAAAAGCGAGCATCAGCCGTATCGGCTTTGTAACACAAATTAGCTATCGTGAAGTCCGCTCAGCTCTTCCCTTTCTACCCTGGCTGCTTTTTGCAGGGATTGGTCCGTGGTCTCCAGTCTCTTGGGTTCTCACCCTGTGTGAAAATCTTCCTGTTTTTCCCTACCCCCCAAGTCACCTCTTACACAGCCTCTGCTTCCAAACGCAGCCCCCACAGGAGTTTGTAGGATTTCTGTGCTAGCGGGGAATGTGTTCTCACCTCATAGAGCCAGGTAGAAATTATGCAGATGGGCGCTGTTCTCTGGGAAGAAAGCAGGGCCTTTGGGGCTCTCAGTGTCCCCGTTGGGTTGTAGACAAAACACGCTTACTTTGCGTAGGGGAACGGCTCTGCCGGCCCCCAGGTGCCCTAGCGCATATGCACGGAGGCCCGCAGGTCAGAACCGCAGTCTCACCTGTCTTGGCGGAAATGCCCTGCGATCCTCCCGGAGATAGAAGGCGGGAAGTTTTATGAGGAGCCGGTCCAGTTTCCCTACTATCTCCTGCAGTTCATATATCTAGTGTTTCTTCAGACTTTAAGCGACTGCTTCATGTTTGATGTCTCACTCCCACATCCTACATCCACTGCCAGGCAACTTTCTAGATAGCACCGTGACCCATCCTTCCCACCCCCAAGAAGCCCTTTCCTATTTCTGGTGCCAGTGTCCTCCCCAGTCCCTCTTTCTTCAGGCCCTCGCTTATCACCTTCATGGACAGAAAATACTTAGCTCTCTCTCAACCTGAGGTTTACACCTGACACGCGTCAGTGCCCTGGCAAATTCCTTAATACCCCTTCTCAAATGGCACTGTAAATCATCTCTTTTTAACTCCCAGAACTATCTAATTGGTTTTGTCCCTGCACTACATGAATACTAGTATTCCACTACAGAGGAAAACCCCAGGCCTAGCGATAGCGGTTCTGGGCATTGTGCCAGCCTCTCCCAGGGTATGTTTTTTGACCTCACCTACTTTTGATCAGCTGAGGTCAGGAGTTCAAGACCAGCCTGACCAACATGGCAAAACTCCGTCTCTACTAAAAACACATACACACGCACAATAATAATAATAACAATAATAATAATAATGATAATAATAATAATTGCCGGGCGCAGTGGTGTGTGTCTGTAATCCCAACTACTCGGGAGGCTGAGGCAGGAGAATCACTTGAACCCGGGAGGTGGAGGTTACTGTGAGCCGAGATCGCGCCATTGCACCGCAGCCTGGGCAACAGAGTAAGACTCTGTCTCAAAAAAAGAAAAAAAATTAGTGCATCTGAGACATATTATTGGAGACAGTAGAATCCTGCGTCCAACAGGCACTTGGTGCAGATCTGAACCCATTGAGCTATTGGCTCATGTTCCCTATGTTCTATTAAGTATCATGAGCAGAAATTGAGCCCTTTGGCTTTTACCCACTGAGTATGGCTATAGGACAGGTCTCTCTCTCTCTCTCTCTCTCTCTCTTTCTCTCTCATTCTTTGCATCATTATTTTTTGCCATCAGTGTGGGTTTTTGGTTTTGAGGTTATGAAGTGAATTTCTGGGGACAATCTCTGTTGGGTCGTGTTGACAAGGATCCAGTCCCTGTTTGGTGATACATGACAGCTAATCTGGTCTGTGAGTCTTCTTTATTGTCTATTTATTGTCCTGAGAATAATGGCATTTCCTGATATTTGAGACTGCAGCAATGATAAGTTGTTCAGATCTTGTCTTTCCAATGTTTGGTAAACATTTTATAGGCCCAATTGTTGTCAATATCTGCAAGAGTGGCATCTCTGTTACAAGAGTGATCTTACTACTCGATGTCCCCCCTCCCACCCAACTTCGTTTCCTAGGGGCTCTTGGCTTTAACGAATTTACTGTATCTAAAAGACATCTTAGTACAGGAAGAAAACTGAATCTGTAGCATGTAAGGAGCAGTTTTATTTGATTGGTATATTCAGGTTTCTAACCAGCTGAAAAATTCAAATACATGCCCTTTAAGGATTAAGTTTAAACCACACTACAGAAAGAGAAAAGATTTATATGATCACATATAAGCAATGGAATCAGCAATATGAGTACTTTTCACAACTATACAAATCAAATTTAATAATCTCCAGAACATTAAGGAAGTTCAGCCCTTAATGGAAATGAATGAAAAGCAATTATTCACCCACTGTTACATGCCCTGGAAAGAGAATGTCCTGCCAGACTCAAAAGAGTATCACAGTGTTACTCAGATTTTCAGCAATGAAGGCCCTCCAAGGATCTAATGATGTTCATCTTTTCAGTTTATTTCCTTCACTGATAAACATTGTTAATAGATACCATTGCCTCTGTTTTCACTTTAAGTGATGTTACTTAGCACAATTCGTTTCTTTAGAATGCACCCTAGTTTGGTGGAAGGAATTTTCCTGCTTTATAAATATAGGATATTTTCTCATGAAACAAATTGGCATACTCTTTCAGTGAAGTGAATAGACAAATTAGATCTCTACAATTGTAAAGGAGTCACTGCCCCAATTATCTTAGGAACAATAATAATCACTTATATAAAATTAAAATAAGAAAATTAAGCCAGGTATGGTGGCTCATAGCTACAGTCCCAGCACTTTAAGAGTTGGAGACCAGCCTGGGCAACACAGTGAAACCCCTGTCTCTACAAATTTTTAAGTATTAGCTAATTTTTTAAAGTTGGCCGGGCATGATAATGCATGACTGTAATCTCAGGCTGCAGTGAACTATGATTGTGCCACTGCCCTCCAGCCTGAGTGACAGAATGAGACTCCCAACTCAAAAAAAAAAAAAAAAGGAAAGAAAATTAAGAATTTGTTGAAAATTGTTTTACTACAATGCTAGGCTGCATGTCTTGCACCTGTACTCCCAGCAACTCAACAGGCTGAGGCGGAAGGATTGCTTTAGGCCAGCGGTTGCAGACCAGCCTGGGGAACAGGGCAAGACCTCATCTCTAAAAAAACACAAGGCAAGCTGAGCCAGGAGGATTGCCTGAGCCCAGAAGTTCCAAGTTGGTCAGCTATGATTGCCCCGCTGCACTCTAGCCTGGATAACAGAGCAAGACCCTGTGCCTTATTTTTTAATTTATGTTATTTTTTTACTACTTATGCTTATTTATCTATTTATTTATTTTTGAGACAGAGTCTTGCTCTGTAGCCCAGGCTAGAGTGCAGTGGTGCCATCTCAGCTCACTGCAAGCTCTGCCTCCCAGGTTGAAGCTATTTCCCTGCCTCAGCCTCCAGAGTAGCTGGGATTACAGGCGCACGCCACCACGCCCAGCTAATTTTTATATGTTTAGTAGAGACAGGGTTTCATCATGTTTGCCAGGCTAGTCTCAAACTCCTGACCTCAAGTGATGCACCTGTCTCGGCCTTCCAAAGTGCTGGGATTACAGGTGTGAGCCACCTCGCCCAGGCTCCTTATGCTTGAAATGTGAGGTTTCATTAGGGAAAAATTTTCTTGTTGAATTTCTAACACGAAAAAATAAGAGATTTAGCTGTAGATTAAATTAATGGTCCTGGTAGTTTGGTACAATAAAATAAATGAAGTTGATAGCAGAGAGGAATCTTTGATGCTTTTGAACAATTTAAATAATGTAATATTTATTATATAAAGACATGAAAAAGTTCATTACATTATTATTATATGCATTTATTTATTTATTTATTTTGAGATGTAGTCTCACTCTGTCGCCTAAGCTAGAGTGCAGTGGTGCAATCTTGGCTCACTGCAACCTCTGCTTCCCGGGTTCAAGCAATTCTCCTGTCTCAGCCTCCTGAGTAGCTGGGATTACAGGCGCACACCACCACACCTGGCTAATTTTTGTATTTTTAGTAGACACGGGGTTTCACCATGTTGGTCAGGCTGGTCTTGAACTCCTGACCTCATGATCCTCCTGCTATGGCTTCCCAAAGTGCTGGGGTTACAGGCATGAGCCACTGCACCTGGCCCATTACATTATTTTTTAAAAATCAGTGTGACTCTTTTGACAAATTAGAATGGTTTAATAATCTTGGTTAGGCTGGGCATGGTGGCTCATGCCTGTACTCCCAGCACTTTGGGAGCCCGAGGTCAGGAGTTTGAGACCAGCCTGGCCAACATGGTGAAACCCTGTCTCCACTAAAAATACAAAAATTAGCCAGGTGGCTACTCAGGAGGCTGAAGCAAAAGAATTGCTTGAACCCAGGAGGTGGAGGTTGCAGTGAGCTGAGATCCTGCCACTGCAATACAGCCTGGGAGACAGAGCGAGACTCTGTCTCACAAAGAAAAAAATAAAAAGAAAAAAGAAAAATACAAAAAATATAGCAGGGTAGTAAAAATATAATGCACACAAGAATGATAATCATGAAGACAATCTGATTCTACAAGAGTAAGGGAACCTATTCCATTAGAGAGCCAACTGAAAACATCAAATCCCAGTTCACACCCCAGGGTGTGGGGTCATGTGCCTGTAGTCCCAGCTACTCGGGAGGATTAGTAAGGAGGTTTGCTTGAATTCATGAGGTCAAGGCAGGAGTAAACCCTGATCATGCCACTGCATTCCAGCCTGGGTGACAGTGAGACCTTGTCTCAAAAACAAACAAACAAACAAACAAACAAAAACCCACAAAACCAAACAACAACAAATTGCCACCTCACTCTGAAATGACAGTGGCAAACATCACTTTGCTATTGACAAATTAAAAGAAAAACACTCCCTCTTGCTATCAACCTGGACTCTTGCTCTAACATGTCTGACCCATGGTTTAAAATGCCCAAAAGCTGATGTCCTCAAATTATAATACACTTACCTATTCTGCACCAGCATTTATTTTTGTCTGGAGGAGATCACCATCCATGGTCCTGTAAATGTCTAACAGCATGGAATGATGAAGGGCAGTGTCTTTTAGGATATTTGGTTATATCTATATATATGGCTCTGAAGAAACCCAACACTGGGCGAGTTCCCTCAAACTTTTCACTAGGCATGACCACTGCTGTATTTTAGATAGAGATTCTGTGGGGCAAAACCTGAGAATTATCTGCCTGGCTATCAAGACGATAGCTCCTTGCATTTTTTGGGGGAGAACACTTTTGCTTCAAGGGAGTGTTTCCTCCCAGGATTAGAAATCTTTCTGTAACCTCAGGAAACATTGCTGATGAAAACCAGGCATGGTGTGCTGTACAACTTGTAGTAATAAGGCAGAAGTTAAAAGGAAAAGACAGGTTTCCCTGTACTTGGCTGACTCCAAGACCTGCCATAGATAGAGCCCTAGCAGATCCTCGGTAACACGATCTGAAAAGTCAGAGCCCCGAGGAGTGAGTTCCGGAGACTCTCTCAACACAGTAAGCCCCTAGCAAAGATAAGAGGAAAAAACAACAAATGCCTTTACTACCTTCTCTTTCCCCCTTCCCATTTCTAATTATTCAAGTTTTGTTAAGTTCTTGATTTCCCTTCAGTGCAGCTGCAAGGTCACCAGCTATACTTGCATTGCAAGACCTGTGACAGTTTGATTAGCTGCCTTTGTTCTGCTTCTATAAGCCCTCTTGCCTGCCCCCGAGTTTCATGCCATCAAATTCCCGCCGCGCCATTCAAACTAGCCAACCCCCTTTCAGAAGTGTGTATAAAGTTAAGCCCTGTCTTTGTTCGGGGCTCAGCCTTTGGATTTTCATCTGCTGGGCCTCAGTGCAGTCAATAAATCCTCCTGTTCCACCCATTGGTCTCTCTGTTCTCCTGATTCCCACAACAGTAGTAGGGGACTGCGTTCGCACTTTCCCCTGGTCTTTCATGGTATGAATAATGGACAGCATTTTTTTTTTTCGCCTATAGTCGCAGGCTCGGTCTCAGTGATTGTATGCTGTGGTCAGCTGTTTTTGTTTTTGTGAGACCTTGTTTTCTTGTTTACTGTCCTGGGACAGATGTCTGTAGTCACTTGTTTCCTCGGGAGGCAAATTTCAGTCTCTGTGGGGGAGGTCTCCCATGTTAGCTGTGGTGGTACTTGGCAGGCAGAGCTCAGGGATCTAGGCTTCCGTGCTTTGTAGATTGCTCAATGGTCCCCAAGGCCTAGTGGCTTTTAACACCACTTGAAAACCTTAGTGTTTTTCCACTGTCCCCAGAGTCACCTCTTACACAGCCTCTTTTTTTGTTTGTTTGACTTATTCTCTGAGAGACAGTCTCACTGTATCTGGTGGCATCTTGGTTGAATCAATCCTCCCACCTCAGCCTCTGGAGTAGCAGAGGCATGAGTCACCACAGCCGGCTAATTTCTGTTCTTGTTTTTGTTGTTGTGGTGGCTGTCTTGTTTTTTTAAGAATTGAAGTTTCTCTGTGTTGCCCAGCCGACGTGCTCCCGGTGAAGGAGGCCGCCTGCCTGGGGGCGGGCTGGAGCCACGTCCCAGGGCTGGGGGCGCTGTGGGCACTGTGGGTGCCGCACCCACCGCTGCCCGGCACCGGAGGCCAAGAGAGCGTTCCCGACGGGCTCCGCGGATGCCCCGCCGTGTCCTGCTGCCCATCCTGCCCGGGTTGTCGCGGGCCGGGGGCACGACAAGAGGCCGGGGTCTGCCCGGACGCAGCTGTCCCTCCACCAGCCGGGGTCCCCTCGCTCAGCCCATGAGACAAATAAATGAATACATACATACATACATAAATAAATAAATAAATAAATAAATAAATAAATAAAAGATGGAGTCTTGCTCTGTCGCCCAGGGTGGAGTGCAGTGGTGCGATCTCGGCTCACTTCAACCTCTGCCTCCCAGGTTCAAGTGATTCTCCTGCCTCAGCCTCCTGAGTAACTGGGATTACAGGTGCATGCCACCACACCCGGCTAATTTTTCGATTTTTAGTAGAGACGGGATTTCATCATGTTGGCCAGGCTGGTCTCGAACCCCTGACTTCAAGTGATCCACCCGCCTTGACCTCCCAAAGTGCTGGGATTACAGGCATGAGCCACTGCACCCAGCCAGAAGTGGGCATTAATATGCAGGCACCGTATAGGGCAACATCTGTGTGCACCTCTTACAAATCTTAATGCTGTGTATATGAGGGGGTTCCTTCGTGTACCCCTGGGGATGTTTGAGGTTGCCTGTATGTGTTATGTGTGTGCATATTTTTAAGCTCAGATATGCATAGGCGGATTGACACCTCTGTTTGAATGTATTCCCATGAGCTCATGCCATTAATTCACCATCACAAGAAATATTTACCGAGCGTGAGCCATGCCATTCCACAGCCACCATTATAGCACTAAGATACAACGAGGAACAAAAAATCGAGGCTTTCTGAGCTCACACTGGGGTGGGGGCATGGTGGGAAGACACAGGCATCAATGTAATAAACAGAAACCACGACAGGGCTAAGTGTTCTGGAGGAGAGGCACATGGTGTACTGAGGCCCCTGACGTAGACCCCAGGTGCACCTTTGAGCTTTGCTTGCATGGTTTGGGTTTGTGGGCTCACCTGCATGTGTCCATGCATGCCCCATCTGCGTGCTCGTGCATGGCTGCATCACCCCATGCACACGTGCACTGCCCCTGGGCTTGCCCACATGTGCTGCTCCCCAGGGCGCCAGGCTATCAGCCTACAAGGCATTGTGGGTCTGGGCCCAGCCTGCCACCCCCTACAGAGGCCTGAGCCTGCCTTCCCAGGAGGCCCAGGACTCTCACCCAGGGCCCTTCCCTGCAGCTGGAGCAGGCTCTGTGGCTGGAATCTGGTGAGCTGGAGATGCAAGAGCCCAGGGGGCTGGTACTCCAGAGCGTGGAGTTGCGGAGGCAGCTGCAGGAGGAGCAGGCCTCCTAGTGGCGCAAGCTGCAGGCCTACCTGGAGGGCCAGCAGCGGCAGGCCCAGCTTGTGCAGCGGCTGCAGGGCAAGGTCAGGGCCACCCATTCCTGCTCTTTCCCTCCCACGTGTTCACTTTGCCCTGCCCCCACCCCTGGGGCTCACCATCAGCTCCCAATCCCCAGATTCTCCAGTACAAGAAGAGGTTCTCGGAGCTGGAGCAGCTGTTGGAGAGATCCGGAGAGCTGGAGCAGCAGCAGCTGAGGGTGGGTGCCAGGGTGGGGCAGAGGCAGGCCCTGCCCTCCACCTGCCCAGCCTGATGCTTTAACCTCTCTGCCACCCAGGACGCAGAGCACAGCCAAGACCTGGAGAGTGCCCTCATCTGGCTGGAGGAGGAGCAGCAGGGAGGGCCAGGGCTCGCAGCATGGCCCCCTGGGCGAGCGCCTACTGATCCCCTGTGCCCCATTCAGGAGTGCCAGCCTGGCCCAGGTGAATGCCATGCTCTGAGAACAGCTGGACCAGGCAGGTTTGGCCAGCCAGGCTCTGAGTGAGGAGATACGAAAGGTGACCAGTGACTGGACTCGCAGCTGCAAGGAGCTGGAGCAGTGGGAGGCGGCATGGAGGCGCGAGGAGGAGGTGGGCATGGGGGTGCAGGGAGGCCGGCGATATAAGAGGAAGATAATGCACAATTATGCTAGTGAGACTCTCTTTTCCAATAATGTTTGCACTTCTCAATACTACATTTAAAAAGGAAATAGGAGCACTTGAACGGTTAAGTAAGAAGATGAACAAAATTGAACAGAGGAAAAATAACTGTCTGAAGACATGTTGAAAATACATTTAAAGACAGTGTGTCTGAGACAGGAGCTGAGCTGGCCAATCCATCTTTTAAATAATTGAACATCATTCAGGTGTCAAGTATTTGACCTGGAGCCTGGAAGGGGAGGAGAGAGTCCAAAAAAAAGTCAAAATATAAAGAAAAAAAATTAAAGAACTTGTCCCACAAATCAGGCAACCAAGGTCTAAACTTATACCCTCTGCCTGGGTAAATTGTTGTTGCTTCTTTCTGTGACTCTTAAAAGATGTACCATATACCTCATTTAATGACTTTGATTTATTCATGAAAACTCTATCCCCATGGGAAAAGCTGTTAAATGAAAAAAGATTTCTTTTAAGTAGAAAAATTATGAAAGGATTCCTTCCAACCCTCCATACCCAAAATATCTCAAATGAATTATATAGCTATCAATTATCAATATATATCAAAATATATCAATTAAAAATATCAGTTAAACAGTACGTCAATTGAACTATGAAAGCAAGCTTATTTAAGTAACAAAGAATAACGTGAAGGTTAGTAAGTATAGCTTATACTTAAAATACAATGAATTGAAAGCTCATCGCACTTCATAGAGTAGGAAGAAGAAACTTAATAGAAAGTGGTAGTTGGGGGAGAAGGACTGCAAGGGAGTTATTTGGAAAATGCATTTTTTATTTCTGCATCATTTTGTTCACAAATTATTCTTAATCTTTTGTGAATTTGTGGATTTCTTGAACTCAAACCAGACTTAAAAATACAGTTATAGCACAGAAAAAAATCTTTCATGGCAAAATAAAAGCTAAGCAAGAGAGCCTTTCAAAACACATGAAAATAACACACACATACAAAAAAAAAAGAATAAAGAGATGTACAAGTGACACCTCCTCAACCTTCTCACTTGGTGTACATACGCACAGTAAATTATTTTGGGCTCAGCCAAGCATGGGAGCAATTCAAATAGATCCATATGATAGTCTCTGATTAGAAACTCTTGTGGAGTAAGTTGGTGAGTGTATCTTTGCCTAAAACAGTCATGTCAAAATATAGCTTTCTATAGCATATTTATTTAGTATCATTTTGGTGAAAAAGTGGTTATACAGAATAGAAAAGAGTTGTCCAAAACTAAGTGGTTGACCTTTCCAGAGCCATTACCTGCAGAATTGTTATGTAAGTCTGTTCCATACTCATAAAGGAATACTCAGCTGACCCAACTGATTTTCTCGTGTTTTTTCCTTCAAGGGCTAGTAGAAGTCTATATGTTGTGGTGGAAAACAACCTCAGCCCTATAGTCCAACATTTGCCTATCAAAACTTGTCCTATGATTTATAAAACTAGAACCTCACTGGTAAGTCACATTCCTAGAGTCTCCCCCATCCCTAACCCCAGTCACGGAAAATAAATCAAATCATTGTCACTCTTTCTTAACAAAGAGTATACATTTAAAACTTGAGTAAAATTACAGGTACCGTCTGGGGCCTTCAAGGGGGAACTTGAAGTCTCAATACCGCAGTTGTCCAATCAGAGGATCCAAGATGAATATACTCAAGGACTTTATGCTTGGCATCCTCTGGAGACAGTACATAACCACCAGCTTGGTTTAACTGGAGATTCATTTGGGTTAGGAGAAATTATGTAGGCAATGTACTTAGTCAATGGAGGCCTCATGCCTGAAGACTTACAAGAATCTGAATTCGTATGTTACTTTTCCTTTAATGGAGTGGAATTCCAAATGAAAATAATCAAACAGCATGTGCATAAACATTAGATATAATACCCACATTTACAAAGCCTTTATAGATATGCAAGTCATATTGTGTCTGTCCCTAGCTTCTGTACAGAATTTAATGGGTAGCTGTTACTATTTTATTGCCGTATAAAAATGAGGAAACTGATAAGTTGTCTAAAGGTGCACAATCAAAACACATCAAAGCCATTGTGAAATACAGGTCCCCGGATTTCAAAAACAGATCTTCTGCTTATAAATTCAGTCTTTTTCATACTGCCATAAACTCCAGAATGGGAAAACAAAGTTACTATCAGAAAAGCTTCTTTTAGCTGCGCGTGGTGGCTCATGCCTGTAATCGCAGCACATTGGGAGGCCAAGACAGGCGGATCACTTGAGGTCGGGAGTTCGAGACCAGCCTGGCCAACATGGTGATCTCTACTAAAAATACAAAAATTAGCTGGGCATGGTGGCGGACACCTGTAATTCCAGCTACTTGGGAGGCTGAGGCAGTAGAATCGCTTGAGCTGGGGAGGCCGAGATGGCTTAGTGATCCGAGATGGCGCCACTGCACTCCAGCCTGGGTGACAGAGTGAGCCGACATCGCGCCACTGCACTCTAGCCTGGGTGACAGAGTGAGACTCCATCTCAAAAGAAAAAAGAAAGCTTATTTTTTCCCCTAATCACCATAATATTCACTATTAAGTGAGGGAAATAGAAATAATTTACTTAGCAAATCCTTTCTAGTTCAAATAATTTGTATACAGGCTGTGCAAACATAATAATGAGAGATTCTTTTTAGTCATCTTGCTTTATATCACTAATTACACTCTTATTTAATGATATTTTAAAGAAAAACGTGTTTATTTTCAAGTAGAAAACTCATATCTGTCCACCAAGGAAAGCTGTAACAAATGTAAAATACATAAAAAAGATAACTGCTAAATTTCTAAAGCATTCCAAAAAAAGACAAATAGAAGGGTGTCAGATTAGGAAAGTATGTCTTGTAAGGTGTAACGGACAGACTGATGAGCTTAGAGATGTGGATCTCAAAGTGGTTCTCAGAGCAACAGCATCAGGGTCACCTGGGAACGTGTTAGAAATGCAGATTCTCAGGTACCATCCCACATTTAATGAATCAGAAGCTCAGAGTAGAGACCAGCAATTTGTTTTAACAAGTCCTTCAGGGATTCTGATACAGCTGATGTTTGAGAAACACTAGCTTTAGGTAAACGTAAGAGGGTCACGTTAGTATTTTTAAATCATTGGAAGTTGGTTTGTTTTGTTTTTTCTTAAGTGGGACTCATTTATACTTCAATACACAGAATGGATATTTAGAGGAAGTCGTTTTTGACCTAACACAGATGAGCATTTCCAATTGAATAGCGCTTTCTGATAATGGGGCTGCCCACTACAAGTGAATAACTGGGTTTCTCTAGGCTGGAGCTGCAGACAGGTCACTATGTGTATGGAGGATTGTATTAATATGATCGTGGCTCTTTATAGCTCTGCATTACTAATATTCTGTTTTAAAGTCTCTCCTCAATATCCAATGTCTCTGTGTGAATGACGGTAAGGAGTGGGTAACAGTAACAATCATCCTGTTGTTGACAACAGATGATAAGAGAAAGCCCAACTTTACACTCTGTATAATCTTACACCAATGCCCCATTCCTCGTCTAATTTTTTTTACATGTTAACACATGACCTTGGCATTACTAAATAAGAAGCCCTCTCACTTAGAACCCGATGCAGTATGATAAAAATTATTTTGAGAACAATCAGGAGCTCTAGTTTTCAATTCTGCTTCTCTTCTCAAGTAGTTCTGTGCCTTAGTTTCTTCTTTGTAAATTTAAATGGTTGGAACAGAGGATCTGTTAAGTGTGATTCAAGCTGAAATTGTATGTAGCCCACACTGAGTTTCTCTGCTATACCCCTAACCCATTCAACAATCACACCACCAGTTTTCAGGACTCACAGTAGGATAGCCGTCTATCATTTGTTAATAGGTGTGCTCTTTCATCCAAACAAGAAACTCATGATTTCTGCAGTTTTTTATTCTAGCCAGGTTCTAGGTGCTGGCCTGGAACTATAAAACAAACATTTCACAAAAAGTTATGACAATATACAAAGGAAAGACAATTTCTTTGAATATCCATAATCTCAATATGCAGTCTGGCTGTGGATGGCCAAGAGATAGTTTCCTTAACTGGAAAAAGCTTTTAAATGAGGCTTGGTGGAAGATATATCTTTGCATCATTACAAAGAAGAAAAAAGAGAAATCTCACAACTGAAGAAAGTGAAATCCACTTTACTTAATGCGGACCTCTGTCTCTGGTGTGCAGGTCCTCTGTGTCCAAAGATAATTAGCACTTTATAATGCTAATTATTATAATTATGTCTGAGAAAAAAATCATTAGGGGGTAGGCCCGTTCACTGATTTTCAACTGCCCCCTCTATTTAAAAATAAGGTCATTTTTCTATGAAATAGCTTTAGGAGCTCAAAGCAGAAAGAGGGTTATAGAAAATCCTGTGTAGGTATAAGCCTGAGTTTTTAATATTCTTATAATTCTGTGATGTGTCTGGAAACTGAACCGGGAGGAAAACAGTGAACCTATTTAGTCCAGGAGACTAGAAATCAGGACTCAGAAGAGTAAACATTTCTGTAATAGTTAGTCCTCAAATAGTCATTCATTGACCTTCCACTGGGTGTCTCGCAATGTGCAAGCTGCTTCTAGATGCTACCTCATGTAACAACCATCACAGTTGCACAGAGCAAGTACTAGTACTCCACTTTCATAGATAAAGAAGTAAAATCTTAGAAATTAGCTGCCCAATGTCATGTATGTAGGAAAGGAAAGCTGGATTCTGATTCATATTTGCTGGCTCCAAAGCACTTTTGTAAATACTTCACTATCCTGTGCTTACATGTAAATGTACCATTTCTCTTAGGGGTCTTGAAATACTGAATCAAAGAATGGTGTAGGGGAAGGGCAGTTTAGAAATACCTGGAAATTTGGTTGTTTGAAGGAAGCCCCCTCTCAGATGGTAGGAGATCAATCTAACAGAATAGCTGAGAATATTTTCTGAGGCCCCAGAAGTATAAAAATGGTCTAGGGGGGAAAATTTGGGACACAGAGTGAAAATAGCCTGCCTCTGAAGACCAGCTTCATTTCTTCCCCTCTGGGTGTTAATGAAAGAGCCTTTAACTTTGCCAGGCCTCAGTTACTAATTTCTAAAACAACTGCTGCTACTATTACTACGGATCTTACTGCTACTATGACCACCACCACCACCACATCAGTTACTGAGAACTGAACTAGATGCCAAGAAATATGGTAAACACTTCATATACATTATCTTTTTAAACACAAAATGTACTATTAATCCAGTTTTACATATAAGAAAACTGAGGCTCAAAGAGGCTAAGTAATTTGTATGTGAACATGCTTTACACTATGTAAAACACCTTATTAGTAGATATCACTATTATTAAGAACCTATCAGCCGGAGAGGAAGAATTGGCCTTTTATCTTTCTAAGATGCACAGTTGTCTTTCTGTTTAATGGTTTTTTAAAAATCCCCCTGTGACAAGCTCCAGAGGACAAGTAATTTATTTCTTGTGGTGTATGGCTCTCTAAATGAATTAATTGATAGGCATCCCCTTGTCAGTCTCAGGGATGTGGAAATAAAACAGACATGAGATGTTTTTTACCAAACTAATTTGTGCTTTAAACACATAAATAATAAATATATATATATTAAAGTAAATGTGTATTTACCGTCTCTCCTGCTCCACTTTGAATTCAAGAACCCGTGTCTTTGTTGGGTCACTGCACTGTCAATTGAGAAGTTTGGTTTTGTTTCTTTGAGTGTTAGTAAGTGGCATTAAATGGTAAATATTGCCGGGGGAAAGAAAGGAGAAAAACAGCTCTTCCAATCCATCCCTGTTTCCATTCAATTAAAGGAGGGTAGAAAGAATACTTAAGATAATTGTAATAAGTCTAATAGAATAGCAGGAGCCACTCTTTTCCTTTCAGTAGGCCATTAGCTCAGAACTATTTTCAGAGTAATACTAAGATGATATTTGCCTTTTCACTGTGTTGGCACTTGTATTGATAAGGCAAAAACAGTGGAGTCTTAGCAAAAATTAAGACCATGAAAACAAACTGCACTAGGAATAATTCTCTTCTTCATTACTGTTTACTTGCAGGGGGAAAAACCATTTTCGTTTAAGAAAGTCCTTGGTGAAGTAGTAAAAATATTAATTTTATTAAATCTCAACCTTGAGTACAAGTCTTGTCGTTGACTGTACTTAAAAGTTTTGTCCTCCCCAAAGCATATGGCGTCAAGGCTGGGCCTAACCCAGTCTCATGACCTTGTGAATCCAGTCCACAAACACAGAGACACGTGTGAAGACGGCTGGCCAGCGCGACCTTGCGCATACTCGGTTGGGGATTCTAATTCCTTCCAGGACCCAGCAGTTGTGGGTAAAGCAGGCAAGTGGGCCCCCGTAGTCACCCTGGCAGGTAGGAGAACTGATGAGGGCCCCGGGCCACAGCAATGACTAGCCTGCTTCATGATAAAATAGTTCATTTCTAGCCCCCCATACCCTTCCAGGGCTGGCCCAGGGCCCTGCTACCAACCTCACAGGGCCCCACAGGGGCCAACAGTCCCTCAGTGCACATCTCGCTCTCCCGCACATGTCCTCGGTGCTTGATGTTACACTCCTGGTTGGAGATGACGTTCAGCAAGGCCACATTTAGGACTGTGTCATTACCCGTACCTGCAGTGAGGGGAATGGGGAGAAGGAGACGGTCCTGGAGGAAGATCCAGGGCTGGGCCTCCTGGCCACCAGCAGTCCTGTGCACTATGCTCTTACCTTTGGTCTCACCCCAGCCTGCAATCTCACACTTGGTCCCTGGAGGCACCACATACCATTCAGGCGGCAGGCAGATCAGGGCCACACGCTGGTTCAGGGTCACAGATCTTTAACAAGAATGGGGGCACTCAGGGTCTGAGGCCACAAGGCTCAGCCCCACCTCACATCCTCCCAGGTTGTCCACATACCTCTCCAGCTTGAGCAGGACAAGCTGGGAGCCTGAGGGCCCACACAGCATCTTGGCTACTGGGACCCGCTGTAGGCCTGGCTCTCCATGTTGTGGGTTCTGGAACAGGGTGCCCAACCATACCTCATAGCCCGTGAGAGGCATATGGCTGGGAGAGAAGCTCTGCTAGGTCATTTGTGACTCTCAGTCCGTTGCCCCAAGGCTCACTTGTTAGCTTGCCTGGGGAAAGGGGAAGGTGGGATGAGACTGGGTCCCCAAACACAAGGGAGGCTCACCAGGAGGAGAAGCACTGCCGGGCAGTCAGTATCCACTGCTCCTTCACTAGAGACCCCGCGCAGAAATGCTGGCCCTGCCTAGAGGAGTGGGGAATTAGGACAGGAAACAGACTCCTGGGACAGATGCTAGACCTGCCATCTTCTGGCTAGGACCTCTGGGGGCAGGGATAGATTCCCAGCCCCCAGTGGCATAACCACAGAGGACACAACCTCAGCTCCTCTCTGTGGGAGACAGGCAGTTGTGCCTCACCGATTCCCCAAGCTGACTGTCCAGGGTGAGTTGCCCGGATGGCCCCCAGCCACGCGCAGCTTGGAACGACGCTGATCCAGCCGATCCACCCTCTTGCCACACTTCTCAAACTGCACCTGGTCTGTAGGATGGGGTGGGCTGGATGAAACCCAGACTGTGTGGATGTCGTGGGCTAAAGGGCCTGACCCATAACTGGCCCAACTCCTAACCTGGGGGGGTCCAGGATTGATGGCGGCTGGTCATCAGCTGAAAGACAAAGTTCACTGGGGTTAAGGGAGCCAGCCTTTGGTGGTGGGGGCTGAGGCAGGGTCATGGGGCAAGCGTCACTAGTGCTCACCGCAGCGTCGCAGGGCACAGTAGTCGAATGGGGTCCTTGGGTCCATCGTGTAGCACCAGGGCCCATGGCTATCCCCATCTGGGTCTGGCAGAAGTTCTCCTCCAGTTGTGCATGCGGTTCGGAGGTAAACGTGAACCGAGGCGGGAGCGGGAGCAAAATCGTGGCAGGGTAGTCTCAACCATTTCCAGGCTCTGGTCCCAGACACCAAAGCATGCCGCCCCAGGGTTAGGGCCCTGGCGGGGCCGGGAGCACCAGGGACTCACTGCGGCTTGTGCGGCGTCTCAGCGGACCAGCGCTGGCACTGGACACCCTTGCGGGTCTTGCTGACCGTGCCGCGGTACTGCTCCCCCGCGCCGTGGTAGCAGTCTGCGGCCGGTGCGGGCAGCCATCAGGCCGAGACCCCGCCCCGGCCCTCCGGTTCCAGGCTTCCAGCCCCGGCTCTGTAGCCCCCAAGCTTGGGCCTCACCCTGGGGCCGCACGTCGTCTGTACAACGCCGGATCTGGTAGCAAAAGCCCACGCGCATGCCGGGCCGCAGTGTGAAGCACCAGGGCGCCTCTGAGCCGTCGAGGTTCCGGCAGAAGTTCTCCCGAAGGTCTCTAAGCAGGCGCTGCACTCAGCCCTAGCCCGCCAGCCTCCAGCCCTAAGCCCGTGACTACCCTCCTCCCGTCTCACCCGCAGCAGCACGTCCCAACGCCCGCCCCCCCGCCCACCTCACTTGCACGCGTATTTTTCTGGCGTAAATCGGTGCTGATGCGGGATTTGCGCGTCCCAACGCTGGCAAGGTACGCCCGCGGTGGTGGTATTGGCTGTGCCCCGGTAGCCCTCACCCTTCCCGCGGAAGCAGCTGACACTTGTGGCCTCTTGGCGGGGCTGTGCCTCGGACCCTTAGATGGACCGAGATAGGTCGGGCCCCGAGCGACAGCTGAGATCCCTCTGGGGCTGGGACCAAACCCGCCTTTCCCAGGTGTACGGTACTCCACGGGATATGCTCTCAGGTCACGCCCAGCCCCTCTTACCTCCCGGCCAAGCCACGCCCCTCCCCAAGGTTCCCAGGTACCCTCCCAGGCCTGGTCCCCGCCGCCTACCGCAGCGGGGGAGGTCACAGAACTCTCGCTCGATCTGCGGATCCGTAGTGTAGCATCATGGCCGCTGGGAGCCGTCAGGACTCCGGCAATAGTTGTCGTCCAGACCTTGGTCGAGGAACCTGGGGGCGGTAATGGGGCGTGAAGAAGACCCTGGGACTCTGGCTTATCTGGCCCCGCCCAGTTGCCCTACACGGAGCCCTGCCCCTGGAGTCCTGGACCTTCCCTAGCCCGGCCCCCAGGGCGCCGATACCGCCTACGCGTACTTGCCCGGCTCGAAGGGGTGCTGGTGCGGGTGCTGAAGATCCCAGCGCTGGCACTCGCGCCCTGACTCGGTGCGGTCTACCGCGCCGCGGTATTCCTCGCCATTGCACCAGACACACGCGGCTGGAGACAAAGAGCCAGTGGGTTCGTGGATGGGCGTGGGCTTGTCCCTCCACTCTCCCAGCTTGACCCGGCGCCGCTTACCCACCCGGCAGGATTTGATGCCGCAGCTCTGGAAGCGCACGGCAGGGTCTGTTGTGTGGCACCAAGGACCTCCGGGGTCGCCATCAGGGTTATGGCAGAAGTTCTCTTCCAGGCCATTCCGGAGCGTGGGCATGTACCTGAGGGCCCAGAGCATCACTATAGTGTGTGCTGGGGGAAGGTCCCAGGCCGGGACGGAGGGAAGGTGTTTGTCTCACTTGTGATCATTCGGGAACTTGTGGCTCCAAGCCTGGCAGGACAGGCCACCCACGGTCGTGGCCATGGTGCCCCGGTACCCAACCCCATTGTTCATGATGCAGGTCCGTATGTAGTCTGGGAGCAAGAGACAGAAGATCAACTTGGGCTGAGGTCCCCTGTCTCCCACCCTGCCCCTCTCCACCCCCACTCGCCTTTCTTCTGGAAGAGGTCACAGCGCCCAGAATGCCACAGCCTTGAGTGGGGCGAGTGTTGAGTCCATGGCAGCAGTTGGCAACCATGGCTGCTCACATTGTAGTGGAAGGCCCTGGAGAGAAGAAGGCACAGGGTAACGCCACGGCCCAGGCTCCCCTGCCCCCAGTCTTATCTAGGCCCAGTGGCCACTCACCAGCAGTCCGTTAAGGGCCCACAGCGACCAGCACACTCTTCAGCATCTGCCACATCCTCCTGCCAAGGCCCAGGCACCACCGCATGTAGCAGGTGCTGTAGCTCTGTGCCCCGGAGCACCTGGAAGTCATTCAATGGCGAGCGCTGCCCTGCAGAGTGGGCATGAGTGGGTGCAGGTCAGGTGGGCATACATGTCAGTAATGTGTATTGGCATGTCCACACTTTGTTCATTCGGGGGATCAAAGCTACAAGGCTTCTGGGATGGACCCTGTATGCACTTTCAAGGGCCAGTCTAGCCCCCCTGCACAGATACTTGTCAAAAAAATTTCCCCTGGGAAGCAGGCCCAGACTTGGTAGTTATCACCGGTGCCTCTGTGTAGTGGCCCAGGCACCGGGCTCAGATCTAACACATACGCTCTGTGAGAGCAGTGGGTGATGGAGCTTGCCCCATCTCATCTCTCAAATGAGAATGCTAAGGCTCAGAGCCATCACATTACCCAGCCAGGGGCCCAGGCTAGGCATTCAGACTCCAAATCTGGGCTCTCACCTGCACAAAGGCATACGCTAGGTTAGAGGGGTAGATCAGGCTCAGGAGGGGTCATTGCCTGCTGTGTGCGTGCATCTGTGTGGTCCTAACACTGCTTCAGTGCTAGAGCAGACGTGCTAATAGAGGCCTAAGTGGGCCGTGTCTGTGTGTTCCTAGGGCTTCCCAGCTGTGCTCAAGAGGCCAAGGTCACTGCCCCATGCCCACTGAGCCTCTGGCTCCCCGACTTTTTTCTCATCCCAGAATAGGAGAATGGGGCCAACCCCCTCCTGAAGGCAGATGGGGATCAGGGTTGGGGGCACTCACCAGGGACCCCTAAGTATTGAGTCAGAAGCAGCAGGAGTGGGAGCCACTCCTCCAGGATGACTTCATCTTAACTAATTATATGACTATGTTGACTGCAACATATGTATGAAGTTTCATATACTCAATTCCTTTACTGCTTCCTTGAGCCTATGAACCCCCTCCTGCATCTCCTAGTCTTCACTGAACATTATGTCAATTCTCAGCCTCAGCTCTAAATGCTCATGGTTTCCAAAAACATATTTACAACCCACCATAGGTCCTGAGCACCAAAGCCTGATGTCCAGTTGCCCAGTGGACAGACATCTCCACTGGGACATCTCATAAGCACTAAAAATCTCAATGTACTGAAACCTGAATTTATATTTCTCTCCCCAAATGTGCTCCATTTCCATCTTCCCTTTCTCAACATCCATCCAGTGGAAATGTTGCTCAAACCCAAGTCCAGAGCCACCCTTGGCACGCTCATCTTCCTGAGCCCCCCACTTCCATCGGCCACCCAGGTGCTTGTCAGTTTGCCCACTTTCTCCCTCTCCACAGCCCTTTTCCTAGTTCAGACCTTCTGTCTCCCTTGTTGGGATCATGTCAACCTCTTCCTCACTCGCCTCTGGCTCTGGGCTTGTGCCTTCAACCGACTCTTCAAACCGTAGCAAGAGGGATGCCTCGAATCACAGATCAGATCCCTCTCTCCTTAAAGCCCTGCAGCAGCTTCCTGTGGCTCTCAGGATAGAATTCAAACACTTCCAGGATCTGGACATCTCCTGCCCCTCCACAGCCCTGCCTCGCCCTGCATTCCAGCCCCACCAAACCACAGTCAGTCCCTTCCATGGTTTTGGATCTCTTGTCTGGGAACTTTGCACCTGCTGTTCTCTCTGCTTAAACTCTCGCTTTCACCCATGCGACCTGGTTCACTCCTCATTCT
The DNA here is from genome assembly GCF_000001405.40 of Homo sapiens. NCBI lineage: Eukaryota > Metazoa > Chordata > Mammalia > Primates > Hominidae > Homo > Homo sapiens. The sequence continues at coordinate 1,539 of NT_187368.1, read as the reverse complement.
CCTGCATGTCTCAGCTTGGAAGTCACCTCTTCCAGAAAGCCTTCCCTGACCCTCAGGTCCAGGTTAGATCCCCCACCTGGATTCCCACAGCACCGTGTTTTTCCCCTACCACAACCCTAGTCATGCCCTTTAGCGAACAGCCAACAGTTACTAAGCACCTGCTGTGTTAGGCTGTTTCTTAGGACTTTATAAGAAAGATCACATTTAATCCTACGAAGTAGGTACTGCTATTATCCTATTTTTTAGATGAACAAACTGAGGCAAGAGCAGTCACACACACATAGAGTCAGTAAGTGGTAAAGTTGGGATAGAAACCAAGACAATCTGACTCATGGATGTTACACCGTGTGTTAGAACTAGCCTTGAAAAAAAGACACAAGCTTGTGCCCTGTGCCAAGAAAGTTTCTGATAATGGTGGCGGTGGTGGTGGTGGTGGGATTTAATCAGTTGGCAGAAGTCTGTATTTCTAACAATCTCTGATTCAAATGGGCAGGACCCATGTCCATTTCTCTTTATTGCAATTGTATTATGTTTCTTACCTTCACTCTGCAACAAGCTTGGTGAAGACAGAGAACATGTATCTGAGGCCCTTCATCTCCCCTCAGTTCCTAGACCAGCACTAGCCCATAGTCAACCCTCCATCAAAGTAGAGGGAGAAAGTAAGTGGCTTTTACCCTGTGCTTTCTGAACTCCTGGGATGCTAGGAAGAGCCAGAAAACCTTGTCCACCGAACCCACAAATTCACTCTCTTCATCCCTTCCTCACTCCACTTCCTTCCCAGTAGTTGTTGGAGTTTTTGAATTTTCCCTCTGTGAGCCCTTGCCCTCCCCTGCCATGTTCTCAGCAAAGGCCCTGGCCTCCAGGTCCATGAGAACAGGATTCCCTGTAGTAAGAGCTCTTCCCTAGCCTCCTCCACTTCCAAAGGGGCTGGAATCTTCACCCCTTGATCCCTTCCCTTTTTAGAGCACAGAGGAAGCGGAGCCCTCCTCCTGCCCTGGGCTCCCATGCCCCACATGTTCCTGGAGAGCACCCTTGGGCCACTGTTGTAACTACATGGTGACTTGCTTGCTCTCATCCTTCATGACCCCCCCTCCTCCCATGCCCCACTTTGTTAATTTCACTCTCCTCTCAAAACTCCCCACAGTGCCAGTGATGGGGTATAAATGCAGCTGGGCAACGAGGCTCCCACAGACAGACCCAAACCTATCTTCCAAGTGTTAATTTCTTTTCTCTCCTCTTCTTCAAATAGGTCTCTTCCTTACACATTTCTGCCATTCCTTTCTCTCTCTGCCTTGCCTCTCCCTTTTCTCCCGGCCACAGCCTTATCCAACCTCCCAGCCCAGCTTGGACTCAGCTTTCCTAGGAGGCTCCCAGACAATCCAGTGGGCTCTCATTTTTTTGAGTGTATTCAGCAGTTGGCTGATGCTGCATCTCCAGCACTTGCCCTAGGTTGTTTTATCTCCCTAATGGCCTGTAAACCCCTTGAGGGCAGGATCTGGCCTTTGTACTCTAAAAAGGTCTTCCTACTAGAGAATGCTC
>NT_187366.1:0-42210 GCF_000001405.40 Homo sapiens | reverse complement strand
AGCTTTTTGAAAGATGCTACCAGCAGTTTTTCCAGGGCAGAGATGGGTCCTTTATTTTTCTCTCTAATCTAGCCCATATGCTTAGCTGAGAAGGTTTCTTCATATCACTTTAAATGATGATGTCCTTGTACAACAATTTTCGAAACATTCTTTAGATAAGAATTTTATGGGCATCCTTTATTGCATTAGGCTCAAATTTCATGCATCTTAAGGTTTTATTGCAAAGTGTTGCCTTGTTTCCTTTTTAAGATGATACAATTTGTAACACGCAAGTTTGCTGTCTGTCCCCTCCCTTTATGTACATATAAAATGAGCAAACATGTGGCCATGAAACAGATGGTCATAGAATTGGTTCAGTGGTTGTGAGTTCAGCAACCCAAGAGAGTCTTATCTGAAATACCACCAGGAATGCCTGGACACAGTAGACAAAAGTTGTTCAACTGGACGCCTTAGGATACACGCTACCAAAAACAAAGTAGCCAAAAAGGAACCAGAATAACAGAATATCAGAGCCAGAGGAACATTTGGAGGTAATTCAGTACCTCCTCCTTTTCAACCTACAGGAGAGATAGTGGAACAGAAGCAGAAATGGGCCTGCCTGCTGTGCCCAAAATTCATTGGAGATTGTTGTGGTGAAGAATTTCATTTATGATGAAGGAGAAATAAACCCTGTCAGCTTAAATTCAGGCAGGTTTATTGAAAAGGTGAAGAAGCGTCTTGCAGAAGCAAAGCATGGCTGAGGCTTGTGGGCTCTGTCTGGGAAAATGAGCAGCTGACAGTGGCTGATGCTGCCCCTGACTCTGGGGCCATGTGGTCTCTTGTTCCCTGAGAGCATCTCTTCTATTCTCTTGCATCTTCCCTCAGCCTGGCAGTCTCTGTGTACTCTGCAACACATAATTGAGCAAGGCTGTGCCAGCCCCAATGCCACCTGGCACTTTAGGTCAAATTAGAAAGGCATGAAATAAAGTGGCCCTTTATAATACAGCTGTTGGAACAACAGTTGGAAGTACAATATCTTGACTCCTTATTTAGTGCTTTATGCTGAACTTTCTTTTCTGAATATGAGCACAGACTTCGGAATATTAATGTCACCTAGCGTTCTTAGCTAGTATTCTCCTTTTGTTTTCCCATAACATCCCCTCCTTCTTCCCACAGATCCACTGTCCACTCATTTCCATCCTGTCTCATGCCACTCGGGGCTCGTCCCTCCTAGAATGCATCCCTGGCTCCCCTGCGTGCACACTTCTAGTTAGGTTTAGCAATGGAGGGCCCCCGATGGATCCTGGAAGTGAGAGGAAGGTGAGGTCCGTATTTCTTCCCTGTCCCTCCCTGCTCTGGCACTGAGTATCTGGCAATAGCTGCATCTGTCTATTACTTCAGTGGCCACTCTTCCACAGCCCCAGTTCTCAGTGGGTCCCATAGCATTATTTACCTTTGTTCCTTTAGCTCCCATCAAGGAAGATCCAGAGACATTCTCCTCACCAAGGCGTTAAGAAATGCACAGGTGAGGGGAACAGCGGCATGCGTTTAAAAGTCCTGTGGCGCCCATCCTCTGCAGGCTGGAGGTCATGGCGGGAGCTGCTGCATGGATTTGCCCTCCCTGCTGTCAGTGAGAACAACAGGGTTCTGGAAGAGTAGAGGACAGGCCGTGGGACTTGGCCATCTAGAGACAAGGCGGGAGGGATTTCCCTGAGAGGCAGGGATATGTGGTGGTTACTAATCATTCGAATCATTGTGAGGTGTCTGGGAATGTAATGGATGGGACATCTACTAAGAAATCAACTTACGTTACACTTAGAAAATCTCTAGTTCTGAGGACAGAGACCTGATGGAGTCACCATAGTGGGAATTTATGACCTGGCATCCAGTTCAGATACCTGGAGCTTCTTGACTGAGGGGAGATTGGATCCCTTGAGGAAGAGTGAAGCCTTCAATGCTACCACAAGTGTATGCTGTAAATCTTCCTTCAGGCCTTCCCCAGAAGGCTCTGAAGCCATTTATGTGGGTGACTGAGGAAAGGGAAATACTCAGAGCTTCTGTGGCTTGTTGGATGCTGGCTCTGAAGAATGCTAAACTGAGGGCCCTGCGGTGGCCATGAAAATGCACTACTTGCATCTCCAGCTGCAGGAGGCCTAACGAATCAGCAGCCTCAGCTGCTACCCTCCGAATGGAGGACTTGATGACATTTCCCCTGGATCTGCACTAGCCCGTGAGGAGGAAAGCCTCCTATCAAGTCCTCCCAACAGAACACCCATGATGACTCATGAGGATGTTGAAGGTGTTTTCCTGTGGCAACTGTGAGTGTCTTTCTTCAAAGTCTGTTTTGTTCCTGCACATTAACTGATTTATATAAAATAAGAGAATAAATGCCTAGACTCCCATGAGTCTATCTTTTACTGATAAACTCTAGTTCTGAGGACAGAAGCCTGATGGAGTCAGTATAGGGGGAATTTATAACCTGGCATCCAGTTCAGAGACTTGGAGCTTCTCGACTGAGGGGAGATCGGGTCCCTTTGGGGAAGAAAGAAGCCTTCAATGTTGTCACAAGTGTATCCTGGAAATCTTCCTCTAAGCCTTCCTAGAGGGACCTGATAACATGACTTATGATACAGTGACCCCAAATTCAGGGTGTTCTTGTCTACTGTCAAGAATGCAATATCTTATTCCTCTGAATTGAACGTAGTACCAATATTTGTGTGTAGCTATGCACCTTAATAGACCATAGCTAATTAGATGAGGAACGGTAGACCCAATTCAACCATACAGGCATCAACCATATCAGCATACAGGCATCCCTCTCCCACCGTTTCCTTCTTGTCCCCACTCCAAAGCCTTCTCCATTTTATTTGTATTAATTTTCTATTGCTGCATACTAAATTACTGCAAGCATTAGCGGCATAAAATAAGAATGATTTATTTTCTTGCAGTGTCCACAGATCAGAAGTTCAGGCCTGGATTCTCTGGGTCTTCTTCTCAGGGCCTCACAGGCTGAAATTAGGCTGGGTTTCTTTCTGGAGGTTCTGGGGAAGAACTTCCTCTCAAGTTTCCTCAGGTTGTCAGCTGAGTTCAGTTCCTTGTGACTGTAGGACTGAGATCTCTGTTTTCTTGCTGGCTGTCAGCCAGGGGCCTCTCGCTGCTCGTAGAGGCCTCCCATGTTCCCACTGCATGCTTCCTCCAGCCAGCAGAGGAGGATCGCCCTGCATGGAAACCCTCCTGCACTTCACATCTCTCCAGGAAGTCCTCAGTCCCTCCAAGGAACTCACGTTCACTAGGTCAAGCTCATCAGATAATCTGTCTATCTTAAATTTGACCGATTTGGGATCTCGATTACATCTGTTAACTTGTTTTTGCCATAAATTGTAGCACAATCACAGGAGTGACATCTCCTCAGTAGCTTTGTCTACACTCAGGAGGAAGTGATTATATAAGAGCAAAGATCACTGGGGGTCATCTTAGGATTCTGTCTACCATAATATTATAAAGACACAGTAATTAAAAGAGTATAACAGATTTCTGCTTCTGTCTGTTAGAATAAATCATATCAGACTAACCCTGCCTCCATAAACAAACGTAAAATTGTTTTCAGCAGTGTACAACAGGCAGTCCAAGAGAAAACTTAAGGGGGAAGCCCCATGATTTCCTAGTTGTTTGGGGAGAATTTCTCAGCAGCTGCATAGTGAGCTAGAGTCCACTCAGGGCAGGGCAGCTCACTGAGCTGAGAAGGCAGAGATCAGAGTTCAAGACGGCTGAAGCAACTGCAATCTGCAGGGCAGGGCACCAGTGAGGAGACAGCTGATCAAAGGTGCAGCTCTCAAAGTCTATGTGGGGTTCCATGTGCATACTTATCAAGGAGTGGACTCTACCTGCACAAGGAAAAGACTAACAGATTTAACAGAGGGGTGGCTGCTATGAAATTGAGTTTGGACCAGAGGTACTTGAGGTGGAGGAGGGTTGGGGAATGTATGATGGAGTTTCTGCCATCCATGGTGGGAAGAACTCATGCACACCTCATTAGCACCCAGGTATCCAACTGAGACACTAGAATGGATGTGCTTTAGGAATAAGTGTCACACTTTTCAATAAGGCCTATTGTAGACCAACCTGCTAAAGCCTAAAAGCAAACCCTGACAAATTCACAAAGGGGTGGATTGGTGATTGAGTCCTGCCAAATTAGAGGGTCTTGGGAAATGCTGTGGGCTTTCCATGAATCCGTTGTAATAAAACATAAACCAGTCCACATAAGTCCAAAGTGATCAGACAGTAATTTTACTGCCCACTAGAACAAAATTAATTCACACAATCAATGACACATGTTAGCCAGGTCGATATTTAAGCAAAATACATCTAAGAACAGCTAACAAATAACTCTTCTCAAACTCACATAGAGCATTCAGCAAGATAGACCACATGTGCTGAGCCATCGTTAGTATTTTCTGTCCTTTCTCTTTGACTCGTGTATAGTGTGCTCAAACTCTTAAAATTATACACTTTAATGATTATACACTTTCATGCATCTCAATTGCATGTAAGTTATATTTCAACATATTTGTTAAAAGTTTATAATTAAAAAAACTGTCCTAGCTTGATTCAAGAAATCTTTTTTATATTTAAGAAAATGTAATGTTATGTATTATCAGGGCAAAAGAGAAAAACCATATGATTACCTTGTCATACACAGTAAAAGCATTTGGCACAATTGAAAACTTTTTTCATGATTTATAAAAACAAACCCCAGAAAACTCTCAGCATGATAAGAAGAGAAGGCAACACTTTCAACCCTATTAAGGGTAGATTTGAAAAAAACTCAGAGGTAACATTATATTAAATGGCATAGGATTGAATGCTTTTCTATTAAATCAGAGAAAAAAGTAGAATATCTGTTGTTATTCTTTCAATTCAGCATTATACTAGAGATCTAAATCAATGCAATAAAGTAAGAAAAATAAATAAAAGTATTGAAAAGATTGAAAAGAAAGAATTGAAGCTGTCTTATTCACAGATAATGACTGTGTATGTTAATAATCCTAGAAATCTATAAAAATCTGCCAAAACTAATTAGTGAGTTTGGTAATGTTGCAGAATATAAGCTCAATAGAAGTAGTCTTTTGTATTTCTGTGTATTAGCAATGAGCATTTGGAAAATGAAATAAAAATACAATTTCATTTCAAGTAACATCTAAATACATGTTGTGCTTAGAAATAAATTCAACAGGCTGGATCCGGTGGCTCGTGTGTGTGTGTGTGTGTGTGTGTGTGTGTGTGGGTGGGTGTGGGTGTGTATATTCACCTTTTTGAAGATTATCTATCGTTATCTCCAAACAGGGAACATTAAGAGAACATTAAAAGAAACCACAATATAAGAGATATATTTATTTCCAACAAAGGGGTTTTTTAGAGTGTATTTGTATATATATATGTATGTATATATATATAAGTTTAATAAGATAAACAGCACAATGAAACAATTTCTCAAAAGACTTGAATAGGTACTTAAGAAAAGAAGATACATGAATGGTCAATTAGCATAGGAAAAGATGCTCTACTGTTTAGCCAGCAGGAACATCAATCAATACAACAATGAGATACCAGTACATATCCTGTACATATGAGATACCAGTACATATCCGGTGCCTGGGATTACAGGCACCGGCCACCATGCCTGGCTAATTTTTTGTATTTTCAGTAGAGGCAGGGTTTTACCATGTTGGCCAGGCTGGTCTTGAACGCCTGACCTCAGGTGATCTGCCCGCCTCAGCCTTGCAAAGTCTTGGGATTACAGGCATGAGCCACCAGGCCCAGCCAAAATGATTCCATTTTTATGAAGCACATGATCAAGCAAAATGAATCTATGGTGGCTGCTAAGTTTAAATATTGGTCCCCTCCAAATCACATGTTCAAATGTGGTCCCCAGTGTTGGAGGTGGGGGTAAATGGGAGGTGTTTGGGTCATGGGAGTGGATCCCTCATGAATAGATGAATCCCCACCCTGGGAGAAGGTAGTGAGTGAATTCTCACTCTCTTAGTTCCTGTAGGAGCTGGTTATTAAAAAGTGCCTCTCACCTTTCCTTGCTCTCTTTTGCTTCCTCTCTCGCCATATGATCTCTGCACACCCTGGTTCCTTTTCACCTTCTGCTGCAAGTGGAAGCAGCCTCAGGCCCTCATTAGGAGCAGATGCGGGGGCCATGCTTCTTGTACAGCCTGCAGAACTATGAGCAAAAGGCACCTCTTGTCTTGATAACTTACCCAGCCTCTGGTATTCCTTTCCAGCAACACAAAGGGGCTAAGGCAGTGACAACATTCAGAATATATTCTTCATTTGGGGGATGAGTATTGACTGGCAAGGACCACATCAGAACTTTGTGGCATGGGGGAAAATGTTCTCTGTCTTTAACTGGGTGTTACTTTACAATTATAATTATATTAAAATTTATTAAGCTGTGCCTTTAGGTTTTTTTGCAGTATACTCTACGCAAATTTTACCTCAGTGAAGAACTGTTAGCATACAACAGACAGATAACAAACACTCAAAAATGTGAAAATTGACAGAAAATAGGTAACAAATATTTAGCATATAAATAAGAGGGATCCGTTGAGAAGAAACCAAAAGCAACGGAATAGAACAAAGACAAAAAAGTATAATAAAAAGAGTTTTAAATTTCAAAGTTTGAAACGATATTAAAGTGGCACACTGTTTCCTTGGGAAAATCAAGTGAGAACCACAAGTCTGAGACTAATTCCAGCAAAAGTATGTAAATCAGTTTGATCTAATGGTACAAGGTTAGCTTTGAAGGCCAAAAGGAACGGATATCTAATTCTTACTCCTCTCCTCACTAGTTTTGTGACCTAGGGAAATTTTGCAATCTTTCTGAGTTTGTTTTCTCATCAGGAACAGGATAATACCTAAGTAACAGGATAGTTGACAGATTTAAATATGATCGCATGGCGGTGGACATGAGCCGTAATTAGTTGTTAAGAATATATTGACACTGAACTCTCCTTTATCCATGTTAAAATTGTAGATAAACAACAATTGACAAAGAATAGACAAAATGTTCTAACATAAATATTCTTCCCTTGTTTCTAGAAAGAAGTCACACATACGGTAAAAATAATTAGAGAGGACCTAGTTCATATTGAACAATCTTCCCCAAAGCCTGAAACAGGTCTTCTTTCTAACACCAGAGATATCTTGAGTGAGTCCAACCCCTGCAGTCCCCTCTGTCTGGAATAGATGGAGGAAGTTTGCTCCAGCCTTAGAAGAGCATGGGCTGGCAAGCGTTCTCAGAGAGGTCTCGACTTCAACTCTAAAGGGCCTGAGGAATATGTGCAACTGGGTCGGGTTAAGGCCAAGCTGAATCACATGACCAGGGCTCTCACCAGCGCCAAAGTCAGTGGAAGGATATCAGTCCCCAGAGCTCTGTCACAGGCCATGGATGCTCCATGGAGGGGTGGTGAGCATATGAATAACAATCAAGAGAAACATCGGTAATGGACAGGAGGCATCAATAAACAATGTCCACCCTCCTCTAAAACCCAGGAAAGTTCTCATTCAAAAGACGATGTCTTGAAGGAAACCTAGGTACAAATCTTTGTGATTTTGGATTAGACATTTTTTAAGTAGGCACAAACAACCGAAAAATAGATAGATAAATGGACTTCATTAAAATAAAAAACTTGTATGCTTCAAAGGACACTGTCAAGGAAGTGAAAAGATAATCCACATAATGGGAGAACTATTTCCAAATTATATGTTTGACACAGGTCTAGTACCTAGAGTATATAAGGAATTCATATAACTGAGCAATAAACGACAACCACATTTAACAATGGGGAAAAAAAGCTGTGAGTAGAGGTTTCTCTAAAGGAAACACACAAATGGCCAAGAAGCACATGCAAAGATGTTCAATGTTTTTCGTCATTAGGAAAATGTAAATTTAAACCAAAATGAGATACCACTTCACACCCAGCAGTATGACTTAAGAAAAAAATAAAGACAACACATGTTTCAAAAGTGATGGAGAATATGGAATTCTCATATATTACTATTGGGAATCTAAAATGATGTAGCTACTGAAGTTAGTAAACAGTGTGTGAGTTCCTCAAAAAGTGAAACATAAAGTGACATATGATGCAGCAATTGCACTCCTAGGTTTATAACCAAGAAAATGAAAAACAGATGTTCACTCAAAAACCTGTACAAAGCTGTTCACAGCAGCATTATTCCTAATAGTTAAAAAGTGGAAACATCTTAAACCACCATGAGTTGATGAATAAACAAAATGTGGTATAACCATATAGTGGAATATTATCTGGCCATAAAAAGTTGAAGTACTGACGCAGGCTAGAAAGGATGAAACTTGAGAACAATATTCTAAGAAGCAGATAGAAAATACCACACTTTGTTATTCCATATAGAGGAAGTGCCCAGAACAAGTACATCAATATATAGAGAAGGTAGATTAGTGGTTGTCAGAGAGCGCAAGAAGGGGGGAATTGGAGAGTGTCTGCCCATAGGTACAGGCATGCTTTTTGGCATTATGAAAATATTCTGGAATTAGGTAGTGGCGATGGTTGCGAAAGTTTTGGAATATGGTAAAAGACACTGAAATGTATGCTTAAAAATGGTGAATTTTGTGATGTATAAATTCTACTGTAGAAATAATAATAACAACAAAAGTAATAAAGCAAGGTGTCTTTCCACATCTCCATGTCCAGTATTTTCATTAAAAAAAAGAAAGAAAGTAAAAGCATTTCAGGGCCAGGTTCAGTGGCTAACTTCTGTAATCCCAGCACTTTTGGAGGCCTAGGTGGGAGGATCGCTTGAGGCCAGAAGTTCAAAACCAGCCTGAGCAACATAGCAAGACCTTGTCTCTATGAAAAATATAAAATTAGCCAGAAATGGTGATGTGTGCCTAGAGTTCCAACTACTTGGAAAGCTGAGGCAGGAGGATCGCTTGAGCCCAGAAGTTCAAGATTGCCGTGATCTATAATCACCAGTGCACTCCACCCTGGGTGACAGAATAAGACCCTGTCTGAAAAAAAAAAAAAAAAAAAAAAAAAGCATCTCACTTTAATAGTAAGTGGCCAAAATATGATGCTGGCTGCATGTTGTGAGGAAATGTGTTAGATGAAAGAAGTCAAATTCCAGAAGATTTCCTTTTCTCAGAAATGAGGTATAGGGGAGAGAAGCACTGGTCCACCTGAGATCTGGCTCCAGGACTTACAACAAGGGGAACTTGGGCAAGTTACAGACTCTGTGTGCCTCAGTTTCTTCATCACCAAACAGAAAGAATCATCCCATAAACTGTAAGGTCAATGCTGTCAGTGAGTCCCCAAATTGACTGCACATCTGAGTCATGTTAACAAACACATTCCAGGCCCCACCTGAGCCCTCTGAATCAGAATCCCTGCAAGGAGGACAATGAACTTGTATTTGCACTGACTTTCCCAGCTGTTTCTTACTTTGATCAAGTTGGGGGTGGGACCCATTGAGCTGCATCACATCATTCCAAAGCCAAAACACAGCAGCAGAACAAGAATATTTTCAATGCGGTCTCTAAAGCGGAGGAGAAACTGTTGAGGGAACCTAGAAGTAAAGGACATCTGGCTTGCTGGGCTCCATTTAAACTTTGAGTATAGCAGAGACACGAGCCCTTCGGGACACATGCCTGTCGCAGTGACACTCCAACTTCGGAAGAGTGGAAGCCCTGATTCCAAATTCAAGCATGCTTTGAGTAGAAATTAAGTTTGCCTCTTTTTGCACAGGAAGATGGCCAATCTTTCCTAAGCTGCTCACCTTACAAGAAAACGAATCGTACTGCTAAGAATTCAAACTTCAGCAGTCATGGGTAAGTAAGGAAGTCTTATAAATCTATTTTAGCCACCTAACAAGAAACTAGAAATTTAGCAAGTTCTTTCACATTCAGGACAGTTGTGTTGACTAGATCAGAGGCACTGAGACATGAAGAACAGACCCCTAAAAAGGGAAAGTGTTCCTTTCAGTTTGAGGACATCACTGGAATATTAGGGAAGTGGAAACACAGCTGCCCACTCTACAGTATGGGTTGCCTTTGTGTCCGGAATGTGCCTAATGTCCTGATCTCTGTGCCCTTTTCAGGGAGCCTTGGAAGGAGCCCGAATCACTGATGGAATTGGACAGTGCATGGAGATGGTTCAGCAGGACAAGGGTAAGTGCAGGGGCAAGTCCAGGTCATACTGAGAGACAACGAGTGGCGCTGACAGAGACAGACAAAGATAAAATCAAAAGTTTGTGCTTCATCTTCAAAAACTCAAACTAATAACAAACTTGGCCTTATGAGAAATAATAAGTATTTTTCTATTTACATGAGAATTTAATCTCAAAACAGGAATCAGAAACATATTAAGTCCAGGGCATAAAACCTAAACCACTGCTCATATTTATTCTTTCTAAATAGAGCAAAGTGTAAAATCTTCTCCATAAAATGCACATTGTGCTTATGAAAAGGCCAGTCTTAGTGAGAATCATTGGTATTCCATAGAAGAGTGAATTAAACACAGCCAAGGGAAGACCCAAGTCTCATACTTCTCTTGTATATTCCAGAGTTCCAGGGGAATTCCAGGTGATAGAGGTGATCTCCCATACTGTTAAAGCAAGGTTGCAGACACTTGGGAATTTTGGTCCCAGTACTCTAGGAGGTCACACCTCTGTCCTGGAAAATACTACAGGAATGTATACTCTTCCTATGACTCATTCTGGTCATTCTTCCAGCATCACAAAAACCAAAAAAAAAAAAAAGGAAATATGTCCAAATACATGATTTGCTATCCCTCCTCTTCAGGTTTCTTACCTGTTACTTACGGATAATAGCATTACCACAGGATTATGATGAAGATACAATGTCCAAATATAAGCACAGTTTTGAGCAAAATGCCTTGTACGAATTGGTCAATGAACAACTAGTAAATAATTATGTGAATATTTACTGAATTATATGGATCCTATGAATAATTACTGAATAATTCATGTGATTGCTTTTATTGGCAGTGCTGAAAACTCATCCCCGTGTGACCTCAAGTAAGCCATGTAACTCTGTGAACCTGCAGTTTTATCATTTTTAAAATAAAGAAACATGACAGATTTTCATTATGACACAGAATGTCAGGTCTCCCAGATGCCAGAAAATACATTTACTTAAAGCCGTTGATACGTCTTAAAGCGGTTTCCTTACAGTGTCATTGGAGGACAGTGTGGAGTGCAGAGAGACATGCTTTGAAATGGGATTGATCCAGTCCTCCTTCCTTCACTACCACATGAATGCTGGGCAGCCCAGGGTCAACCCACCGCACCCTCAACTCAGGCAAGTCCAGCAGCCAATCTTAGGAGACCTGGGCTACAGAACAGTCTCCCAAGTTCCAGGCTCACAAAACCTAGGTGGGGTGAAAGCTGAGAAAGCGAGGAGGTGGTTCAGGGGATCACTCTTTCCTACTCATTCCTCTCATCTCAAACTCACCTTCTACTGCAACACTGAGGATCACCAACCAACCGTGACCATAACCTTGATCTTGCCATGTTCTGTTAGTGGAATGCAACCCAAAATCAATGGTGTTAGGTCATCTCAACAAAATATATATCAAACCATATTGCATAAGAACCGCTCATGGCCCTGTTCTTTTCAGTATATGGGAAAACAAAATGGAAACAACAAAATAGCATCAGGTTTATGAAACTTCCCAAGATAGATGGTCACACATGTTTTCAGGAGATCTCTATATAAATGATTTTGATCACTTGATACCTTGAAAAGAGCTCTTGTGACACTAGAATGACATCCATAAGTGACAAGTATAAAATGTAGCGCTCAGTGACATCAAAAACCAAATCAACCCACATAGAGGAAGAGCTCTGGACATAGGGATGTCAAACTGGTCTAGAGTGTAATGAAAAGCAAAGATGGTGCCCCAGTGAGAAAAAAGAAATCAACATAACAATGGGAAACAGCAAGAAGAATACTGAGACAGGCAAGACAACATTTTTTACAAATGAATTATTCATTCACTTTCTAGTGGATACAGACAAAACTGCAGAAGACCCAGAGGAAATCAGGGCAGGCTAAAAGTTTGATATCTTACACCTGTGGAAAAGCCTTAAGCTCTGTTTTAACTGAGAGCAGGTGGGGTGACTTCATGACTACCATTAAGAAAATACAACCTGTTGGGAAACTGTTTCTGCCTTGATGATGTTGTACAGACAAGAGATAAACAGTGAGGAATATGCTTAGATGTATTGGGAAAGACACGGGTCTGTGGCATCATCACAAGGGTACACGAATACTGAGAGTGAATGCTGAAGGAATGATCCCCATTGGTGGTGACCCTCAGGTGAGACTAGGGTGCCTGTGTTTCAGCAAAGCCTGGGCAATTGGAATGCAGGGCTCCTAAGATTCCATGACACCCCCACCTTCTAATTCTGTTATTGCAACTGCAGACGGTTACCTGGCACGCTGGCCACAGTCTACCTCACTCTTATCAGAGTCTGAGCTACTGGCAGTGCTTTCAGCTCTGAGTTCAGGCACCTCGAACCTTGTTTTTGTGGTGAAGGAACCTAAAGTGCTGTGGGGAGTGATCACATTTTTCACAACAGTAAGTTAAGAATTTCAGTTACTGACATCCCTCAGTCCTGATGAAACCTATTTGATTTCACCAGTTTTTAACCCATCATATGTTTGGGTTTCTTCTCCCCAGTCCCTGGCTCCACCTCTTCTGCCACAAACGTCAGCATGGTGGTATCAGCCGGCCCTTGGTCCAGCGAGAAGGCAGAGACGAACATTTTAGAAATCAACGAGAAATTGCGCCCCCAGCTGGCAGAGAACAAACAGCAGTTCAGAAACCTCAAAGAGAAATGTTTTGTAACTCAACTGGCCGGCTTCCTGGCCAACCGACAGAAGAAATACAGTAAGATCTATAGGCTCACCATCATGAAAGTGATGAATGATGTCCTGTCTTCTCTCTGAGACACTAAATGCTCTCTCCATCAAAAATAATTTCATCCTTCCTGTACTTCTAGGAAAACAGAAATGGGTATTTTAACATTTTGTTAAAGTTGGAAGACAGAGGTACCAAAGTATTTAGCAACTTTCCATGTTTGCAATCAGGTGGGGGTGGGACTAGAGTTAAACTCACAGTTATTGATTTCTAACACAGACACAGAACGACCTGTTTTCTCCAAGAGGCTCAATCATGTTTTCAAGAATCCTCTCTGTACCATATAAGATCCTGCAGACAAATAACATCTAGTCTGTTGTTCTAAATGTCTGAGACTAGTGAACTTTTATTCAGTTCAAGTTTCTGTTGAGGCCCAACAGGCAAAGCTCTGTTCTAGTGACTCTGAGGGGAACTTGGTGATAGTAGCCAGTACCTGCTCTGAGGGACTTCAAGAGGAGTCTGCTCCTAATAGAACCTGTGCTATCTATAAGTGACACCATCAAGAGCAGGGAGTAGGGGCCGTGCAACGTGGCTCACTCCTGTAATCTCAGCACTTTGGGAGGCTGAGGCGGGCAGAGCACGAGTTGAGGAGTTTGAGACTAGCCTGGGCAACATGGAGAAACCCCATCTCCACTAAAAATACAAAAAGTAGATGGGCGTCGTGGCGGGCAACTGTAATCACCACTAATCGGGAGGCTGAGGCAGAAGAATCCTTTGAACCCAGCAGGCAGATGTTGCAGTGAGCCAAGATTGCACTGTTGCACTCCAGCATGGGTGACAGGGCAAGACTCGTCAAAAAACAAACAAACAAAAAGATAAACAAAAATAAAAATAAAAAGCAGAGAGTACCTTGGTGAGAGTGAAGTCCTGATTCCTGGTGCACAGGCTCTTGTTCCTAAAGAGGAAGAAAGATCACACCCGAGAATGTGTGGAAGCAGCAGTGCAGTGTGCAAAGCAGGGACCCTCAGCCTGTCTCCTGGGCTCCATCCAAGTTGCTTGTCTTGTCTGTCCCTCAGTTTCCTCATCTGTTCAGAGGGTACTACAATAATACCTACCTCTGTAAATTGCTGCAATGAATTACATGAGGTATTTCCTGTCAATCTCCTTGAACATTAATTGGCACAGTGTAAACACTATCTATTAGTTCTTCATTCTGATGTTTCTAAATTAACACAAACTAATCTTATGCTGTTTCTAAATTAACACAACTAATCTAAATCTTGATGCTGCCTGTCATACTAATAAAGTATTTGGGCATATTTCCTTCATGGCCTTATTGTCTTCTGTCTCACACTTTATGCTTCAGATATGATTCTTAAAACCATATCTGAATATATGATTTAAAAATGAAATGTTTTAAAGTCCTTGACATATTTGTCCTTGAAATACCCAGTAAAAGGGAAACCATCAGTCCCATAGTCCTAGGGGCCTTCCCGACTGTACAAGAAATCACTACTTCATGCCCCAGTGCAGTGTTTCAGAGGAGAGGCTGCCAGGCTTGGGAAAGTGGCCCCGCATTCAGAGTCAGACCTCAGGGGCTGTGAGTTCTGAGTCCACTTCGTTGAGGTTGAATCATCTTGTCAACTTCCTTGATGTGCCTTGAGTTTCTCTTTCTTCGTCTTTAAATTTTGGAGGATAAGATGCCAGAAAGTCAGGAGACTGAAGAGTAAAGATGTGGAAATCCCTGCCTAGAGCCTGGTACTGGGGACAGTTTTGTCCTTGGGATGGACCTGGCTCCTGCCCTGTAGGCAGTGACCACAGCAGCATGTCCAGCCTTCCACTGAGGCAGACGTGTCTGTCTTTTCTCAGAGTATGAAGAGTGTAAAGACCTCATAAAATTTATGCTGAGGAATGAGCGACAGTTCAAGGAGGAGAAGCTTGCAGAGCAGCTCAAGCAAGCTGAGGAGCTCAGGTGAGGGGACCCCGTGGGGGGAGGCAGGCGGGTAGGTGTGTAGATCTCTGAAGTACAGCAGCTCGGCGGGGAGAAGTAACAACGAAGCTGGGCCAGGGGAAGGGCAGAAATTGCCATGGCAGGCTCATGACACACAAATATTTATCAGAGAACAAGGATAATAATAAGTTATGTGTTGCAGTTGTTTCTTAGAGCCTTGTTTTCTCTTTTTCAAACAAGTAATTGTTGATGTGAAATTTGCATGACAGAAAATTCACCAAAGGAGTGGGAACCACCCAGCAGCATTCAGTATACTCAAAATGGTGTGCCATCACCACCCCACTTACCCTTAGTGAGAATCACCTTCTGACTGACTGCGTCTTCTCATTCTTTCACTCAATCAATGTTGCCTTCTCGACCCTGTCATTCTTTTCTTCTTTCGTCTTTTCAATTCGCCCCATCTGCACCTGGCCTCATTTCTGTACATGGCTTTGTATCTAGTGGCCGCAAGATGCACTATGTGTATTTTCACATGGAAATGTCCATGGCCAGAGTGAGGAACTGAAAGGATGTCTTTTTGAAACGGAATTAGGAAGACACCTACTTTTGTTTACAGAAGGGAAAGATGAATGGAACATCATCAAGGATCTTGCAGGAGCCCTCTCTGATACAGAGGAAGCCTGTAAACCATTTTCTATTCTTTCTCTTGGCCACAGTCATTCCTTTCAACATGTGCTGACCTTCTGCTTGGAGGTCTCCTTGAGGACATTGTCTCAGAAATCTCTGTTGCAATATTTGAGCGGATCACTCAACCCTTTCCACTCTTAAATTTTCTCTACCATCTCACCTTAGGCAATATAAAGTCCTGGTTCACTCTCAGGAACGGGAGCTGACCCAGTTAAGGGAGAAGTTACGGGAAGGGAGAGATGCCTCCCGCTCATTGAATCAGCATCTCCAGGCCCTCCTCACTCCAGATGAGCCAGACAAGTCCCAGGGGCAGGACCTCCAAGAACAGCTGGCTGAGGGGTGTAGACTGGCACAGCACCTTGTCCAAAAGCTCAGCCCAGGTAAGGTGGCCATAGGCCCTGATGACCCAAAACCCCAGTCTTATGAGAGGCTCCAGACCTCCATACTTTCACAATGACAGTTGTATCAGTGGGGTTATTTTCTGCTACACATATGTGGCCATGACATGACCAGGACTTCCTGGGTAAGAACAGAGATGGGAAACCCATGGGTTTGGAGGTCACAGTATTGCAAGTGTCCCTCCTTCCTTGATGGAAGGTGGTCTTTGGAGCAAGAGGCAGCATCTGTCTAGTTTTAAAGGACAGGAAGGAGGCTGTGATGGGAGGGCGCTTGTTGGAGTGAAAAGAGCTCTGGGCTAAGAATGAAGGTTCCCAGGCTGTCTTTTTGGCAATGTTCTTAGTAACTGTCGGTGAGTGAGTGATTTCTCTTTCCAGAGTTTCTCTCTCTCCATCTGCAAAGGCAAACAAATTGTCTCTTGCAAGGGTCTGAAGCATCCAAATATGGGAACACTTACGAATGCTTTTCAAAATGAGATGCAGCCCCTCTCCGTTTGGTGTTGGAGAAGGCACTTGATGTGGGGGCATTTGGTGGTAGGAAGTGCTTCAGACTGGAGCACTCCCCATGGATAGAATGTCCCTGAATAACACAGCAGAAGCCACATGGAGGGCCTGTGCAGTCTCATGACACATAGAGGACTGTGGGACAAGTTTGTCCTCTCCTAAGAGAAAGAATGAGGTTTGAAATGCGAACTGTGGCAGGACACCAAACCTGTTCCTGGGAATCAGATCTGTGGCAGGATGGGGGCGACAGCTGCCAAAGTCCAGAGAGAGGCTGCACAAGCCTCCAGTGATATGGGAAGCAAAAGGTCTTTTCAATATTTGGCCACATCTTGATGGTGGCCCTCCAGATCGGAAATGCATTGCCCGATGGACCAGGAAACCATGCCAGAGCATTTTGTGAAAGATAAAACATGACAGTTTTCAGTACAATGCTGAACCACACATAGATGTTCATGTCTCTGTGCACATTGGGCTGACTGTGCTTGCAGAATGGGAAGTGGGAAATATCTGAACGAACATTTTGTATTTACAGAAAATGACGAAGATGAGGATGAAGATGTTCAAGTTGAGGAGGCTGAGAAAGTACTGGAATCATCTGCCCCCAGGTAACACTGAATACTCGGGAGCAAGTAATGGGTGGTAACATATAAAAATGTCTAGGAGGCTCACCCTCTCTGGCATCTATGATGGGCCAAAAGCCCGCATTCGCTTGGCCACAGTATGTGAAATTCAACCCAGCTTAGACACAGGGTGCGGCAGCTGTCGTGTTTCTCTATGTGTGCCAAGTGTCATGTCTGTACCATACAGGGATAGCTGAGTCTTCATCCTCCTCAGCTCCTATCTGTCCAGTGCACTGAACACCAGCTGCTCTCTTCCTCTCTGGCTCCCATGGCAGCCATGTTCTGTTGCAGAGAGAAGAGGATTGCCTGTTCCCCCTTAAAGGGAACCTCCATTTTGCTTTCTGGGACCACTGTCTTAATGCCGCCTGTCAAAACCAGCTAGGACTCCCTGGGGTCCAATCCCTCTGTGTTTAATCTTCTGTCATCTCTGTCCCACCTGGCTCATCAGGGAGGTGCAGAAGGCTGAAGAAAGCAAAGTCCCTGAGGACTCACTGGAGGAATGTGCCATCACTTGTTCAAATAGCCACGGCCCTTGTGACTCCAACCAGCCTCACAAGAACATCAACATCACATTTGAGGAAGACAAAGTCAACTCAACTCTGGTTGTAGACAGAGAATCCTCTCATGATGAATGTCAGGATGCTGTAAACATTCTCCCAGGTAGCCTCTATTTTCCTTGTGTCTCATACCTCTGTCTAGGCTATGGAAGATCAATTCTGAGGACAGGCTGTATACGCACATATTGTTTTAGTCAGAAACTAGGATGGAGCTAGGTGCTGTGACTCACACGTATAATCACAGCACTTTGGAAGGCCCAAGTGGGAGGATGACTTGAGTTCAGGAGTTGAAGACCAGCCTGGACAATATGGTGAAACCCATCTTTACAAAGAATACAAAAAATTAGGCAGGTATGGTGCTGCGTGCCTATAGTCCCAACTGCTCAGGAGACTTAGGTGGGAGGATCGGCTGAGACGATCCTCCCACCCTGGTTCGCTCCTCTCAGGCTAGACTCTCTCTCCTTTTCATTGGCTTGTCTCAGCTATTAATAAGAAGTCTCGGCCGGGCGCGGTGGCTCACACATGTAATCCCAGCACTTTGGGAGGCCGGGGCGGGTGGATCACGAGGTCAGGAGATCGAGACCATCCTGGCTAACACGGTGAAACCCCGTCGTTACTAAAAATACAAAAAAAAAAAAAAATTAGCTGGGCGCGGTGTTGGGCGCCTGTAGTCCCAGCTACTCGGGAGGCTGTGGCAGGAGAATGGCATGAACCCAGGAACCGGAGCTTACAGTGAGCCTAGATTGTGCCACTGCACTCCAGCCTGGGAGACAGAGCGAGACTCCATCTCAAAAAAAAAAAAAAAAAATGTCTCTGACCAGGGGTGCTGGCTCACATCTTAATCCCAGCACTTTGGGAGGCCGAGGTGGGCGGATCACCTGAGGTCAGGAGTTCGAAACCAGCCTGTCCAAGATGGCGAAACCCCATCTCTACTAAAAATACAAAAATTAGCTGGCATGTTACTTGGCGCTTGTAATCCCAGATGTTTGGCAGGCTGAGGGATGAGAATCGCTTGAACCCGGGAGGCAGAGGTGGCAGTGAGCTGAGATTGTGCCTCTGCACTGCAGCCTGCGTGACAGAGTGAGACTCCGTCTCAAACAAAAAACAAAAAACCAAAAAAGAAAAAAATTAAAAAAGCAAAATGAAACCTTTTGTGCTACACAGAAACATTGGCCACTCATGGGGTAAAAATCTCAGGGCCAAGCCTTGCTTTATAGAAACTTATAAGCAAGAAAAGTGTAGAAGTGTTTATGTCTTGGTTTCAAGGTGACTGCATAGCTAAGACAAGTTGACTTAAAGGAGATCAAGACTGGAGATGACAAGAGTGAAACCAGGGAAACATCATCTTCAAATAAGTAGACAAGGCTGCCAGTGACATCCCTCAGTCCTGATTAAGCCTATTTGATTTCACCAGTTTTTAACCCATCATGTGTTTGCCTTTCTTCTCCCCAGTCCCTGGCCCCACCTCTTCTGCCACAAACGTCAGCATGGTGGTATCAGCCGGCCCTTTGTCCAGCGAGAAGGCAGAGATGAACATTCTAGAAATGAATGAGAAATTGCGCCCCCAGCTGGCAGAGAAGAAACAGCAGTTCAGAAACCTCAAAGAGAAATGTTTTGTAACTCAACTGGCCTGCTTCCTGGCCAACCAGCAGAACAAATACAGTAAGATCTATAGGCTCACCGTCACGAAAGTGATGAACGAAGTCCTATCTTCTCTCTGAGAAACTAAGTGCTCTCTCCATCTAAAATAATGTCATCCTCCCCATACTTCTAGGAAAACAGAAATGGGTATTTTAACATTTTGTTAAAGTTGGAAGACAGAGGTCCCAAAATATTTAGCAACTTTCCATGTTTGCAATCAGGTGGGGGTGGGACTAGAGTTAAACTGCCATTTATTGATTTCTGACACAGGCACAGAATGACCTGTTTTCTCCAAGAGGCTCAATCATGTTTTCAAGAATCCTCTCTGTACCATGTAAGATCCTGCAGACAAATAACATCTAGTCTGTTGTTCTAAATGTCTGAGACTAGTGAACTTTTATTCAGTTCAAGTTTCTGTTGAGGCCCAACAGGCAAAGCTCTGTTCTAGTGACTCTGAGGGAAACTTGGTGATAGTAGCCAGTACCAGCTCTGAGGGGCTTCAAGAGGAGTCTGCTCCTAATAGAACCTGTGCTATCTATAAGTGACAGCATCAAGAGCAGGGAGTAGGGGCCGTGCATGGTGGCTCACTCCTGTAATCCCAGCCCTTTGGGAGGCTGAGGCGGGCAGATCACGAGGTCAGGAGTTTGAGACCAGCCTGGGAAACATGGAGAAACCCCATCTCCACTAAAAATACAAAAAGTAGATGGGCGTGGTGGCAGGTGACTGTAATCACCCCTGTTCAGGAGGCTGAGGCAGGAGAATCCTTTGAACCCAGGAGGCTGAGGTTGCAGTGAGCCAAGATTTTGCCATTGCACTCCAGCCTGGGTGACAGGGCAAGACTGTTAAAAAAATAATACTAATAATGATAAATAAAAATAAGAATAAGAAGCAGAATGTAGCTTGGTGAGAATGAAGTCCTGCTTCCTGGGGCACAGAGTCTTGTTCCTAAAGAGGAAGAAAGATCGCACCCGAGAATGTGTGGAGATAGCAGTGCAGTGTACAGAGCAGAGACCGTGGGCCTGTCTCCTGGGCTCCATCCAAGTTGCTTGTCTTTTCTGTCCCTGTTTCCTCACCTGTTCAGAGGGTACTACAATAATACCTACCTCTGTAAATTGCTGCAGTGAATTACATGAGCTATTTCTTGTCAATCTCCTAGAACATTTATTGGCACAGAGTAAACACTATCTATTAGTTCTTCATTCTGCTGTTTCTAAATTAACACAAACTTTATTAGCATTTGGGCATATTTCCTTCATGGCCTTATGGTGTTATGTGTCACACTTTATGCTTCAGATATGATTCTTAAAATCATAACAGAAGATATGATTTAAAAATCAAAGATTTTTAAAATCTTTCGCATACTTGTCCTTGAAATTCCCAGTAAAAGGGAAGCCATCAGTCCCATAGTCCTAGGGGCCTTCCCGACTGTACAAGAAATCACTACTTCATGCCCCAGTGCAGTGTTTTAGAGGAGAGGCTGCAAGTCTTGGGAAAGTGGCCCTGCATTCAGAGTCAGACCTCAGGGGCTGTGAATTCTGACTCCACTTCCTTGTGGTTGAATCATCTTGTCAACTTCCTTGATGTGCCCTTGAGGTTCTCTTCATCTCTAAATTTTGGAGGATCAGATGCCAGAAATTCAGGAGACTGAAGAGTAAAGATGTGGAAATCCCTGTCTAGACCCTGGTACTGGGGAGAGTTTTGTCCTTGGGATGGACCTGGCTCCTGCCCTGTAGGCAATGACCACAGCAGCATGTCCAGCCTTCCACTGAGGCAGGCGTGTCTGTCTTTTCTCAGAATATGAAGAGTGCAAAGACCTCATAAAATCTGTGCTGAGGAATGAGCGACAGTTCAAGGAGGAGAAGCTTGCAGAGCAGCTCAAGCAAGCTGAGGAGCTCAGGTGAGGGGACCCCATGGGGGCAGGCAGGGGGACAGGTGTGTAAATCTCTGAAGTACAGCAGCTCAGTGGGGAGACTTAAGAACTAAGCTGGGCCAGGGGAAGGGCAGGAATTGCCATGGCAGGCTCGCTACACACAAATATTTATCAAACAGAGAAGAAGGATAATAAAAATTTATGGGTTGCAGTTGTTTCTCAGAGCCTTGTTTTCTCTTTTTCAAACAAGTAATTGTTGATGTGAAATTTACATAACACAAAATTAACCAAAGGAGTGTGAACCACACAGCAGCATTCAGTATACTCAAAATGGTGTGCCATCACCACCCCACTTACCCTTAGTGAGAATCACCTTCTGACTGACTGCGTCTTCTCATTCTTTCACTCAATCAATGTTGCCTTCTCGACCCTGTCATTCTTTTCTTCTTTCGTCTTTTCAATTCGCCCCATCTGCACCTGGCCTCATTTCTGTACATGGCTTTGTATCTAGTGGCCGCAAGATGCACTATGTGTATTTTCACATGGAAATGTCCATGGCCAGAGTGAGGAACTGAAAGGATGTCTTTTTGAAACGGAATTAGGAAGACACCTACTTTTGTTTACAGAAGGGAAAGATGAATGGAACATCATCGAGGATCTTGCAGGAGCCCTCTCTGATACAGAGGAAGCCTGTAAACCATTTTCTATTCTTTCTGTTGGCCACAGTCATTCCTTTCAACATGTGCTGACCTTCTGCTTGGAGGTCTCCTTGAGGACATTGTCTCAGAAATCTCTGTTGCAATATTTGAGCGGATCACTCAACCCTTTCCACTCTTAAATTTTCTCTACCGTCTCACCTTAGGCAATATAAAGTCCTGGTTCACTCTCAGGAACGGGAGCTGACCCAGTTAAGGGAGAAGTTACGGGAAGGGAGAGATGCCTCCCGCTCATTGAATCAGCATCTCCAGGCCCTCCTCACTCCGGATGAGCCAGACAAGTCCCAGGGGCAGGACCTCCAAGAACAGCTGGCTGAGGGGTGTAGACTGGCACAGCAACTTTTCCAAAAGCTCAGCCCAGGTAAGGTGGCCATAGGCCCTGATGACCCAAAACCCCAGTCTTATGAGAGGCTCCAGACCTCCATACTTTCACAATGACAGTTGTATCAGTGGGGTTATTTTCTGCTACACATATGTGGCCATGACATGACCAGGAGTTCCTGGGTAAGAACGGAGTTGGGAAACCCATGGGGTTGGAGGTCACAGTATTGCAAGTTCCCCTCCTCCCTTGATGGAAGGTGGTCTTTGGAGTAAGAGGCAGCATCTGTCTAGTTTTAAAGGACAGGAAGGAGGCTGCGATAGGAGCAGGCTTGTTAGAGTGAAAAGAGCTCTGGACTAAGAATGAAGGTTCCCAGGCTGTCTTTTCGGCAATGTTCTTAGTAACTGTCAGTGAGTGAATGACTTGTCCTTCCTGAGTTTCTCTCTCTCCATGGCAAATTGTCTCTTGCAAGGGTCTGAAGCATTCAAATGTGGGAACACTTAAAACTGCTTTCCAAAATGAGATGAAGCCCCTCGCCGTGTGATGTTGGAGAAGGCACTTTATGTGGTGGTGTTTCGTGGTAGGAAGTGCTTCAGACTGGAGCACTCCCCATGGATAGAATGTCCCTGAATAACACAGCAGAAGCCACTTGGAGGCTTGAAATCTTCTGATGCATAGAGGACTGTGGGACAAGTTTGTCTGCTTCTAAGAGAAAGAATTAGGTTTGAAATGCAAACTGTGACAGGACACCAAGCCTGTGCCTGGGAATCAGATCTGGCAGGATGGGGGAGACAGCTGCCAAAGTCCAGAGAGAGGCTGCACAAGCCTCCAGTGATATGGGAAGCAAAAGGTCTTTTCAATATTTGGCCACATCTTGATGGTGGCCCTCCAGATCAGAAATGCATTGCCTGATGGATCAGGAAACCATGCCAGGGCATTCTGTTAAAGATAAAACATGAGAGTTTTCAGTTGAACGGTGACCCATGCCTAGATGTTCATGTCTCTGTTGCACATTGGGCTGACTGTGCTTGCAGACTGTGAAGTGGTAAATATCTGAACGAACACTTCTGTATTTACAGAAAATGACAATGATCACGATGAAGATGTTCAAGTTGAGGTGGCTGAGAAAGTGCAGAAATCGTCTGCCCCCAGGTAACACTGAATACTCAGGAACAATTAATGGATGGTAACATATGAAGAATATCTAGGAGGTACACCCTCTCTGGCATCTATGATGGGCCAAAAACCCACATTCGCTTGGCCACAGTATGTGAAATATAACCCAGCTTAGACACAGGGTGCGGCAGCTGTCATGTTTCTCTATGTGTGCCGAGTGTCATGTCTGCACCGTACAGGGATAGCTGAGTCTTCATCCTCCTCAGCTCCTATCTGTCCAGTGCAATGAACACCAGCTGCTCTCTTCCTCTCTGGTTCCCATGGCAGCCATGCTCTGTTGCAGAGAGAACAGGATTGCATGTTCCCTCTTAATGGGAACCTCCATTTTGCTTTCTGGGACCACTCTCTTAATGCCGCCTGTCAAAACCAGCTAGGACTCCATGGGGTCCAATCCCTCTGTGTTTAATCTTCTGTCATCTCTGTCCCACCTGGCTCATCAGGGAGATGCAGAAGGCTGAAGAAAAGGAAGTCCCTGAGGACTCACTGGAGGAATGTGCCATCACTTGTTCAAATAGCCATGGCCCTTATGACTCCAACCAGCCACATAGGAAAACCAAAATCACATTTGAGGAAGACAAAGTCGACTCAACTCTCATTGGCTCATCCTCTCATGTTGAATGGGAGGATGCTGTACACATTATCCCAGGTAGCCTCTGTTTTCCTTGTGTCTCATACCTCTCTCTAGGCTGAGGAAGATAAACTCTGAAGACAGGCTCTATAAACACAAATTCATTTGAATAAAAAACTATGATGGGTTTCTAAACAGATATCAGGGAGTTTTTTTGTCCTTCTCAGCTAATGTCATGCCTTTGTCTGCCAGTCCCCAGTATCAAGTTACTCGACCCCAGGCAAGTGTGACAATCTCATAGTCACCTGAGTGCAGGAGGTGCACAGGCAGTATCTGTCAGGCCTCCTAGCTTCGATTCAGTATCTCTTGTCATCTGTGATTAAGTCATCTGTCCCTGAACAATGTCCATGGAGTTTCTATGCCTGTTTCAGGAAGCTGGCAGCCTTGCCTTTGTATTTGGAAATATTGTTCCCCAGGCTTCACTGCTCTCAGCTTTCATCTGGATCTCCTTTAAGTCAGCTTGCTTAGCTGCACAGTCACCCTGAAATCAGGACGGAAACTTTTCTTCTTTACTTTGCTGATATATTTCCATAAAGCAAGGCTGGACCCTGGTTCTCCACCCTGTCAATGCAATGGCTGATCCAATGTTTCTTTGTAGCATCGTGGATTTTTTTTTTTTTTTTTTTTTTTTTTTTTTTTTTTTTTTTTTTGCGATGGAGTCTTGCTCTGTCACCCAGGCTAGAGTGCAGTTGCACCATCTTGGCTTGGTGCAACCTCTGCCTCCCAGATTCAAGTGATTCTCCTGCCTCAGCCTCCTGAGTTGCTGGGACCACAGGTGCACAACATCACATCTGGCTAATTTTTGTATTTTTAGTAGAGACAGGGTTTCCCCATATTGGCCAGGGTAGTCCTGAACTCATGACCTCAAATGATTCACCTGTCTTGGCCTCCCAAATCACAGATTCTTTTTAAAGGAAGAGTTGTTCAAATTTATCTATCAGTCGTGTTTCATGTATAGATGCCTCTAAACATTTAATGTCCATGTTATCTGGTGATATAAGTCCGTATTGCAGCAACACTCTTAGAAAATGGACCAATTTTTGGAGATTTTTTTGGGGAAAAAATTTTGTTTAACTTTGACTCAGGCAGGGAATATGGCATTATGGTGTACACGTAGAGGGAGATTTTGGCCTGTGGGTCTGGAAAGCAGGGTCATCTAATTCTCACCAAAGTTAATCTAGGGCACCCTAGAATATTCCTGTCAGAATCCTTATTCTTGCACTGAGAATAGTTATGTCCTTGTGCTATGACTGGACAGTGATTTGGTCATATGTGAAGTATGAATTGCTTAATGTGACCTGCTTCTCTGAATTTATTTACAGAAAATGAAAGTGATGATGAGGAAGAGGAAGAAAAAGGGCCAGTGTCTCCCAGGTAATGTTGTGGAATTGTTGGCTGTTAATTCAGTAGTGACATCTGGAGATTGTAGATTTAGGGAAAATGAGGAAGTGATGAATAGAACTATTTCTTCCATTCACCCAGCTACAAATTGTGCTGATTTACAATGTTGTATGTTATTTGTGGCACTTGTATTGGTTTTAATTTCATAGTCCTCTCAAGATAGGAACTTGCCATCAGATGAGCCAGGTGAACTAGCCAAACAGGGTTTTCTTGTTGATCTTTTCAAAAAACCAGCCCTGGATTCATTGATTTTTTGAAGGGTTTTTTGTGTCTCTATCTCCTTTAGTTCTGCTCTGATCTTAGTTACTTCTTGTCTTCTGCTAGCTTTTGAATTTGTTTGCTTTGCTTCTCTAGTTATTTTAATTGTGATGTTAGGGTGTCAATTTTAGATCTTTTCTGCTTTCTCTTGTGGGCATTTAGTGCTATAATTTTCCCTCTACACATTGCTTTAAATGTGTCCCAGAGATTCTGGTATGTTGTGTCTTTGTTCTCATTGGTTTCAAAGAACATCTTTATTTCTGCCTTCATTTTGTTATTTTCCCAGTAGTCATTCAGGAGCAGGTTGTTCAGTTTCCATGTAGTTGTGCGGTTTTGAGTGAGTTTCTTAATCCTGAGTTCTAATTTGATTGCACTGTGGTCTGACAGTTTGTTGTGGTTTCCATTCTTTTACATTTGCTGATGAGTGCTTTACCTCCAACTATGTGGTCAATTTTGGAATAAGTGTGATGTGGTGCTGAGAAGAATGTATATTCTGTTGATTTGGGGTGGAGAGTTCTGTAGATGTCTTTTAGGTCTGCTTGGTGGAGAGCTGAGTTCAAGTCCTGGATATCCTTGTAAAGCTTCTGTCTCATTGATCTGTCTAATATTGACAGTGGGGTGTTAAAGTCTCCCATTATGATTGTGTGGAGTCTAAATCTCTTTGTAGGTCTCTCAGGACTTGCTTTATGAATCTGGGTGCTCCCGTATAGGGTGCATATATATTTAGGATAGTTAACTCTTCTTGTTGAATTGATCCCTTTACCATTATGTAGTGGCCTTCTTTGTCTCCTTTGATCTTTGTTGGTTTAAAGTCTGTTTTATCAGAGACTAGGATTGCAACCCCTGCATTTTTTTGCTTTCCATTTGCTTGGTAGATCTTCCTCCATCCCTTTATTTTGAGCCTATGTGTGTCTCTGCATGTGAGATGGGTTTCCTGAGTACAGCACACTGATGGGTCTTGACTCTTTGTCCAATTTGCCATTCTGTGTTTTTTAACTGGGGCATTTAGCCCATTTACATTTAAGGTTAATATTGTTATGTGTGAATTTGAGCCTGTCGTTATGATGTTAGCTGGTTATTTCGCCCGTTAGTTGATGCAGTTTCTTCCTAGCGTCAATGGTCTTTACAGTTTGGCATGTTTTTGCAGTGGCTGGTACCGGTTGTTCCTTTCCATGTTTAGTGTTTCCTTTAGGAGCTCTTGTAAGGCAGGCCTGGTGGTGACAAAATCTCTCAGCATTTGCTTCTCTGTAAAGGATTTATTTCTCCTTCACTTATGAAGCTTTGTTTGGCTGGATATGAAATTCTGGATTGAAAATTCTTTTCTTTAAGAATGTTGAAGATGCTGGAGAGGATGTGGAGAAATAGGAACACTTTTACACTGTTGGTGGGAGTGTAAACTAGTTCAACGATTGTGGAAGGCAGTGTGGCAATTCCTCAGGGATCTAGAACTAGAAATAGCATTTGACCCAGCCATCCCATTACTGGGTGTATACCCAAAGGATTATAAATCATGCTGCTGTAAAGACACATGCACACATATGTTTATTGCGGCACTATTCACAATAGCAAAGACTTGGAACCAAGCCAAATATCCAGCAATGATAGACTGGATTAAGAAAATGTGGCACGTGTACACCATGGAATACTATGCAGCTATAAAAAATGATGAGTTCATGTCCTTTGTAGGGGCATGGATGAAGCTGGAAACCATCATTCTCAGCAAACTATCGCAAGGACAAAAAGCCAAGTACCGCATGTTCTTACTCACAGGTGGGAATTGAACAATGAGAACACATGGACACAGGAAGGGGAACATCACACACTGGGGCCTGTTGTAGGGTGTGGGGAGGGAGGAGGGGTAGCATTAGGAGATATACCTAATGTTAAATGATGAGTTAATGGGTGAAGCACACCAATGTGGACATGTATACATATGTAACTAACCTGCACGTTGTGCACATGTACCCTAAGACTTAAAGTATTAAAAAATATATATACATATATATACATACACACAAAAAATAATAAAGGAAAACTATACATATGGAAAAAAAAAAAGAATGTTGAATATTGCTCCCACTCTCTTCTGGCTTGTAGGGTTTGTGCCAAGAGATCTGCTGCTAGTCTGATGGGCTTCCCTTTGTGGGTAATCCGACCTTTCTCTCTGGCTGCACTTAGCATTTTTTCCTTCATTTCAACCTTGGTGAATCTGACAATTATGTGTTTTGGGGTTGCTCTTCTCGAGGAGTATCTTTATGGTGTTCTCTGTGTTTCCTGAATTTGAATGTTGGCCTTCCTTACAAGGTTGGGGAAGTCCTCCTGGATAATATCCTGAAGAATGTTTCCCAGCTTGGTTCCATTCTCCCCGTCACTTTCAGTGCACCAATCAAACGTAGATTTGGTCTTTCCACATAGTCCCATATTTATTGGAGGCTTGTTCATTTCTTTTTACTCTTTTTTCTCTAAACTTCTCTTCTCGCTTCATTTCACTAATTTGATCTTGAATCACTGATACCGTTTCTTGCACTTGATCGAATTGGCTACTGAAGCTTGTGCATGCATCACGTAGTTCTCGTGCCATGGTTTTCAGCTCCATCAGGTCATTTAAGGTCTTCTCTACACTGTTCATTCTGGTTGGCCATTCGTCTAATCTTTTTTCAAGGTTTTTAGCTTCCTTGCGATGAGTTCGCACATCCTCCTTTAGCTCAGAGAAGTTTGTTATTACCGACTTTCTGAAGCCTACTTCTGTCAGCTCATCAAAGTCATTCTCCATCCTGCTTTGTTCCATTGCTGGCGAGGAGCTGTGATCCTTTGGAGGAGAAGGGATGTCAGGTTTTTGGAATTTTCAGCTTTTGTGCTCTGGTTTCTCCCCACCTTTGTGGTTTTATCTACCCTTGGTCTTTGATGATGGCGACCTACAGATGGGGTTTTGGGGTGGATGTCTTTTTTGTTGATGTTGATGCTATTCCTTTCTGTGTGTTAGTTTTCCTTCTAACAATCAGGTCCCTCAGCTTCAGGTCTGTTGGAGTTTGCTGGAAGTCCACTCCAGACCCTCAAACAGGGATTTCTTGGTGTTGCCTATTCTCTCCCATGTGTTTAAATCCAGGGAGAGATGTATATATGCTTTCTTCCTATTCGTTGGTAGTATGTTGGCTAGTATTTTTGCAAGAAAAGAAATTGAAAAGGTAAATATATTATATCAAAATATTGGGAAAATGGGGCCCTTAATACACAAGATCTGTGTCTGCACTGCGTCAAGAACTCTCTTCACTTGAATGCTGCATGTAAAATTCAACCCAATTTATGCAAAGTAGTTGAAGCCCTGTGTCAGTTCTCTGTGCTGCAAGTCATGATGGTAGTTTACAGGGAGAGTCTGGGTGCCCTGAGTTGGCTCATCTGTGGCAAATGTACTGAGCACATGCTGCCCATTTTTGCTCTGTCCCCAGAGCAGTCACCCTCCACCCTGTATTTAGAAGGCTAGTTTTATTTCTCTTGAAGGAAAAATGCCTTTGGTTTCTGTGACCACTCCATTCTGTCTCCCATCAGATCATCTGGGAGGTTTTGTTGTCTAATGTCTGTTGGTTAAATCTTCTATCATCCCTGTCCTGCCTGGCTCATCAGGAATCTGCAGGAGTCTGAAGAGGAGGAAGTCCCCCAGGAGTCCTGGGATGAAGGTTATTCGACTCTCTCAATTCCTCCTGAAATGTTGGCCTCGTACCAGTCTTACAGCGGCACATTTCACTCATTAGAGGAACAGCAAGTCTGCATGGCTGTTGACATAGGCGGTGAGTACTCCATTGTGAAGGTGATAAAGCTCCAGTTCATGGCCCAGGTAGACCCCATAATCTTTGGGCCTTGTGCCCCTTGTTGGGCTGAGATTTGCCATCACTGTGGGCTGAACCTATATATCAATGTAGATTTCAATCACTCTGGAGTCGAGTCTGAAGCACAGGCATGGGGTGGGTGAGTGAGCTTTGCTCTCTTCCTAGTCTCAGGCCATGCCCGTGCCAACCTGGACTGACTGTCACGACATTGAACTCAAGGCAGGTGTGGCAAGCTCACACCAAACTATGCAGCACATGACCAGGAGTTGTCTGTCAGATCAGCTCATCTGAATTAAATGTCTCTTGCCA
Source organism: Homo sapiens (assembly GCF_000001405.40). Lineage (NCBI taxonomy): Eukaryota > Metazoa > Chordata > Mammalia > Primates > Hominidae > Homo > Homo sapiens. Next base: position 12,452 of record NT_187366.1, on the reverse strand, counting down.
GCTACAAAATTCCTTATGAGTTTTGTTCCCAAAGCATGTCTGTGTGGTTCTTTACCTGCCCAAGGCAAGTGTCACCCTTGTCTACCTCTCAGTGAAAGATGTGGCCCAGGTTTCACTGAATTTATTCCCATTTTCTGTGTCTTCTAAGTTCGCTTGCTTTAGCTCATCTGTCCGTCATGTTCCTGGTATATTTTCTAGATAAATGGCTGACTTTTCACCCACAAAAGCCATAATAGCTGATGCTTCTGTGTAGAACCAAGTTTCATTTTGACTCAAGAGCTGGTACATTGCACCCCTTCATCAAATCTCTGTGTCCACAATCTCATAAACTATCAAATTCTGGGTATTTGATGAGAGAAAGCTTAATATTGAAGTATCTCTCCTATGAGGTGTTAGAACTATTTGCCTACAATTTATTGGGGAAAAAGTTGCTCATTTGTGTACACAAACCTAGGACAGAGCACATAGGGAAGATAACATTCCAAAACAGGGTAATTTTGCCCAAGGCTCATGAAAGAACCCAAGCCAGTTTTCTCAAGACTTGACCTCAGGCCTACTGGAATATTTCTCTCAAAGTCTCCTGTTCTCACACTGACCAGACTGATGTACCTGTGTTAGGATTGGACAGAGGAATGTTTCTGTGTGCAAGGAAGAACTGCTTAATGTAAGAGGCCCCATCTGAATTTATTTGCAGGACATCGGTGGGATCAAGTGAAAAAGGAGGACCAAGAGGCAACAGGTCCCAGGTGAGTCTGAGAAATTGTGGACAGTTAATTTGATGTTGACACCTGGAGATGCCAAGTCCAGGGAAAACAGTACATGCTGAAAATAATGATTTTGTCTTGTCAGACAAGTCTAAATTATGCCTACTACATTGCTTTTTGGTTCTCATTAGAGTAAATGTTTAGGTTTCCATTTCTTCCTACCCTTATCATTTACTAACCTAGTGAAGGTTGACCATACCTCAAAAGCTGTATTCTCATGGTGGCTGCAGGGAAACTTGAGCACATTTTATGCAAAATTATTGAGGCCATGCTTCTCATGATCACTGTTCACTGTGTGTCCTGAGAGCTCAAATAGAGAATGACCGTTGACTCCCTCATCAGTGTGTCACCTGGCCAATTCACTGAGCTCACTCTGTGTGTGTGTGTGTGTGTGTGTGTGTGTGTGTGTGTGTGTGTCTTTCTCTTTCATCCTTTTCTACCTGGCCCTAGTCAATCCCAACATAAAGGCAATAATTTGTTACCTCATTAATGGATCTGTCCTTTTTCTTTTCAAACTCTTCCTTATGTTAGCCATGAAATCTAGCTGGGGCTGTGTGGTTTCTGATTCCCCCTGGCTTATTCTTTACTTTTTCCCACTGTTCCAGGCTCAGCAGGGAGCTGCTGGATGAGAAAGGGCCTGAAGTCTTGCAGGACTCACTGGATAGATGTTATTCAACTCCTTCAGGTTATCTTGAACTGACTGACTCATGCCAGCCCTACAGAAGTGCCTTTTACATATTGGAGCAACAGCGTGTTGGCTGGGCTCTTGACATGGATGGTGAGTACCTTTCTATGAAGGTGATAAGGATCCACTGAGTCTTCTGGTTAGGGTCATATTCCTACTGCAAATGGCCCTTACTGAGCTGAGAGATGTCATTGCCACAGGGAGGACCTATAGGCACATGTAGGTTGAATGAAACTCTAGTTCCACTTGGAAGCCCAGGCAAGGGATGGGTCAGTGAGCAGGGCTCTCTTCCTAGTCTCAGGCCATGCCTGTGGCACCCTAATCCTACTCTCAAGATGTTGGATCTGGGCAGATGTGACAAATTCACACAACTCTGATTTTGTCTCAATTTTGTAGATCTTGTAGATTTCATCCTTCACTCTAATTTCAGCGTCTAAAATCCTCGCTACCATGAAGAATCTGAGTATTTGATGAGACAGGGCTGAATATTGCAGTTTTTCTCCCAGCAACCATTTGGGGGCATTTGCTTTAAATCGATTGGAAAAATATGGCATAACCATTTGCACAAACTTGGGACAAATGATCTTGGGATAACGATCTACCAGAATAGGGAATTTTACCCACAGTTTCTGGGACAAAAACCCAGGAATCTCTATCATGATCAGCCTTCAGGCCTCCTGAAGAAGATCTCTCACAGTGTCCTATTCTCATGCTGAGGAGCCTGAAGTCCCTGCGTGAGGATTAGACAGTGGATTGTTATGTGTGTAGGAGAACCAGCTTAATATGTCTGTCCATGTCTGAACTTATTGCAGAAATTGAAAAGTACCAAGAAGTGGAAGAAGACCAAGACCCATCATGCCCCAGGTAACTTTGAGCAATTATGGATGCTTAATTCTGTGTTGACACCTGGAGATGCCAGGTCCAGGGAAAACAAGAGTATGTTCAATTTCATGTTTTCAACGAAGGTTGAATTACTCCTACTGACATTGCTGTTGGTTTTCCTTGCAGTAGATGTTTAGGTTTCCATTTCTTCCTCCCCTTATCATTTACTAACTTACTGTAGGTTGACCATACCTCAAAGGCTGTATGGCAACTGCATGGAATCTTAAGCAAGTTTATGGAAAATTATTGAGCCCACTCTTTTCATGATCACTGTTCTCTGTGTGTCCCGAGGGCACTAACTCAGAGTGTCCTTTGACCCCTTCATCAGTGTGTCACCCGGCCAATTCGCTGAGCTCACTTTCTCCTCTGTCTCTCTCTCCCTCTCCCTCTCCCTGTCTTTCTCTTTCATTCTTTTCTACCTGGCCCTGGTCTATCCCAACATAAAGGCAATAATTCATTACCTCATTAATGGATCTGTCCTTTTTCTGTTTAAACAGTTCCTTATGTTAGCCATGAAATGTAGCTGGGGCTGTGTGGTTTCTGATTCCCCCTGGCTTATTCTTTACTTTTTCCTACTTTTCCAGGCTCAGCAGGGAGCTGCTGGATGAGAAAGAGCCTGAAGTCTTGCAGGACTCCCTGGATAGATGTTATTCGACTCCTTCAGGTTATCTTGAACTGCCTGACTTAGGCCAGCCCTACAGAAGTGCTGTTTACTCATTGGAGGAACAGTACCTTGGCTTGGCTCTTGACGTGGACAGTGAGTACCTTACTATGAAGGTGATAAGCCTCCACCTGGTCTTCCAGATAGGGGTGATATTCCTGTTCCCAGTGGCCCTTACTGACCCGAGAGATGTCATTGCCGCAGGCAGGACCTATGGGCGCATATAGGTTGTAATGAAACTGTAGTCTCCGCTGGAAGCCTAGACATGAAATGGGTCAGTGAGCAAGGCTCTATTCCTAGTCTCCAGCCATGCCTGTGGCAACCTGAGCCCGCTCTCAGCACATTGGACCCAGGCAGATGTAAAAAATTCACAGAACTATGATTTGGACTCAAGGGTTTGTAGATTTCCTCCCTCATTCTAATTTCAGTGTCTAAAATTCTTGCATCCATGAACGAGCTGGGCATTTGATGAGACAGGGCTGAATACTGCAGTTTTCCTCCTAGAAATCATCTGGGGCATTGTCTTTGAACTGATGGGAACAATCAGGCATAACTGTTTGCACAAACTTGGGATAAATGATTTTGGGATAACGATCTACCAGAATAGGGATATTTCACCCTTGGTTCTGAGATGCAAACCAAAGAATATCATGACCAGCTTTCAGGCCTCCTGAAGTATATCTCTCACATTGTCCTGTTCTCTTGCTGAGGAGCCTGAGATCCCTGTGTGGGGATTAGACAGTGGACTGTTACGGGTGTAGGTGAATTGGCTTATTTTGTCTGTCCCTGTCTGAATGTATTGCAGGAATTAAAAAGGACCAGGAAGAGGAAGAAGACCAAGGCCCACCATGCCCCAGGTAACTGAGCAATTGTGAACAGCTACTTCTGTGTTGACATCTGGAGACTCCTGGTTCAGGGAAAACAGGGCGGGCTGACATTATCGATTACATCTTTTCAACCGAGCCTGAATTATTCCTACTAACATTGCTGTTGGTTTTCATTGCAGTAGATATTTAGGTTTCCATTTCTTCCTCCCCTTATCATTTACTAACCTACTGTAGGTGGACCAGACTTCAAAAACTGTATTCTCATGGCGACTGCATGGAAACTTGAGCACATTTTATGGAAAATTATTGAGCACAGTCCTTTCCTGATCACTGTATGCTGTGTGTCCTGAGGGCACTAACTCAGAGTGTCCTGTTACTCCCTCATCAGTGTGTCACCTGGACAATTCACTGAGCTCATTCTCTGTGTGTGTGTGTGTGTGTGTGTGTGTGTGTGTCTTTCTCTTTCATTCTTTTCCATTTGGCCCTGTTCTGTCCCAACATGAAAGCAATAATTTGTTACCTCATTAATGGATCTCTCCTTTTACTTTTTCAACCACTTCCTTATGCTACCCATGAAACCTAGTTGGGGCTCTGTTGTGTCTGATTTCCCCTGGCTTATTCTTTACTTTTTCCTCCTTTTCCAGGCTCAGCAGGGAGCTGCTGGAGGCAGTAGAGCCTGAAGTCTTGCAGGACTCACTGGATAGATGTTATTCAACTCCTTCCAGTTGTCTTGAACAGCCTGACTCCTGCCTGCCCTATGGAAGTTCCTTTTATGCATTGGAGGAAAAACATGTTGGCTTTTCTCTTGACGTGGGAGGTGAGTACCTTTCTATGAAGGTGATAAGGATCCACTGAGTCTTCCATATAAAGATCATATTCCTGCTCCAAGTGGCCATTACTGAGCTGAGAGATGTCATTGCTGCAGTGAGGACCTGTAGGCACATGTAGGTTGAATGAAACTCTAGTTCTAACTGGAAGCCCAGACATGGGATGGGTCAGTGAGCATGGCTCTCTTCCTAGTCTCAGGCCATGCCTGTGGCACTCTGATTCTACTCTCATGACATTGGACCTGGGCAGATGTGACAAATTCAGAGAACTATGATTTTGACTCAAGGGTTTGTAGATTTCCTTTTTCACTCTAATTTCAGTGTCTAAAGTCCTCACAACCATGAACAATCTGAGTATTTGATGAGACAGGGCTAAATATTGCAGTTTTTCTCCTAGAAATCATTTGAGGGTATTTGCTTTAAATTGATTGGAAAAATATGGCATAACTGTTTGCACAAACTCGGGACAAATGATATTGGGATAACGATCTACTAGAATAGGGACATTTTACCCACAGTTTCTGGGAGAAAAACCGAGGAATTTCTATCATGACCAGCCTTCAGGCCTCCTGAAATATATCTCTCACAGTCTCCTATTCTTATGCTGAGGAGCCTGAGGTCCCTGTGTGAGGGTTAGACAGTGGATTGTTATGTGTGTAGGGGAATCAGCTTAATGTGTCTGTCCATGTCTGAATTTATTGCAGAAATTGAAAAGAAGGGGAAGGGGAAGAAAAGAAGGGGAAGAAGATCAACGAAGAAAAGAAGGAGAAGGGGAAGAAAAGAAGGGGAAGAAGATCAAAACCCACCATGCCCCAGGTAACTTTCAGCAATTGTGGATGCTTAATTCTGTGTTAACACCTGGAGGCAACAGATTGAGGGAAACCAGAGTGTGTTTGATTTCATGTTTTCAACGAAGGCTGAATTACTCCTACTGTCATTGCTGTTGGTTTTCATTGCAGTAGATGTTTAGGTTTCCATTTCTTCCTCCCCTTATCATTTACTAACGTACCATAGGATGACCATACTTCAAAAGCTGTACTCTCATGGCCACTGCATCGAATTTTGAGCATATTTTATGGAAAACTATTGAGCTCACTCTTTTCATGATCGCAGTGTGCTGTGTGTCATGAGGGCACTAACTCAGAGTGTCCTTTTACTCCCTTACCAGTATGTCACCTGGCCAATTCACTAGCTCACTTTCTCTCTGTCTCTGTCTCTGTCTCTGTCTCTCTGTCTTTCTCTTTCATTGTTTTCTACCTGGCCCTTTTCTATCCCAACATAAAGGCAATAATTTTTTTTTTTTACCTCATTAATGGATCTAATGGATCTATCCTTTTCTTTTCTTACCACTTCCTTACGTTACTTCTGAAATCTAGTGGGGCTCTGTGGTGTCTGATTTTCCCTGGCTGCTTCTTTAGTTTTGTCTGCTTTTCCAGGCTCAGCGGCATGCTGATGGAAGTGGAAGAGCCTGAAGTCTTGCAGGACTCACTGGATAGATGTTATTCGACTCCGTCAATGTACTTTGAACTACCTGACTCATTCCAGCACTACAGAAGTGTGTTTTACTCATTTGAGGAACAGCACATCAGCTTCGCCCTTGACGTGGACAATAGGTTTCTTACTTTGATGGGAACAAGTCTCCACCTGGTCTTCCAGATGGGAGTCATATTCCCACAGTAAGCAGCCCTTACTAAGCCGAGAGATGTCATTCCTGCAGGCAGGACCTATAGGCACGTGAAGATTTGAATGAAACTATAGTTCCATTTGGAAGCCCAGACATAGGATGGGTCAGTGGGCATGGCTCTATTCCTATTCTCAGACCATGCCAGTGGCAACCTGTGCTCAGTCTGAAGACAATGGACCCAAGTTAGGTGTGACACGTTCACATAACTGTGCAGCACATGCCGGGAGTGATCAGTCAGACATTTTAATTTGAACCACTTATCTCTGGGTAGCTACAAAGTTCCTCAGGGATTTCATTTTGCAGTCATGTCTCTGAGCTTCTATACCTGCTCAAGGTCAGTGTCATCTTTGTGTTTAGCTCATCCAAAGGTGTTACCCTGGTTTCAATGAACCTAACCTCATTCTTTGTATCTTCAGTGTTGAATTGTTTTAGCTGATCCATCTTTAACACAGGAGGGATCCTTGGCTGAGGATTGTATTTCAGAACCACCAACTGCTCTTGACAATTGTTAACCCGCTAGGCTCCTTTGGTTAGAGAAGCCACAGTCCTTCAGCCTCCAATTGGTGTCAGTACTTAGGAAGACCACAGCTAGATGGACAAACAGCATTGGGAGGCCTTAGCCCTGCTCCTCTCGATTCCATCCTGTAGAGAACAGGAGTCAGGAGCCGCTGGCAGGAGACAGCATGTCACCCAGGACTCTGCCGGTGCAGAATATGAACAACGCCATGTTCTTGCAGAAAACGCTTAGCCTGAGTTTCATAGGAGGTAATTACCAGACAACTGCAGAATGTAGAACACTGAGCAGGACAACTGACCTGTCTCCTTCACATAGTCCATATCACCACAAATCACACAACAAAAAGGAGAAGAGATATTTTGGGTTCAAAAAAAGTAAAAAGATAATATAGCTGCATTTCTTTAGTTATTTTGAACCCCAAATATTTCCTCATCTTTTTGTTGTTGTCATTGATGGTGGTGACATGGACTTGTTTATAGAGGACAGGTCAGCTCTCTGGCTCAATGATCTACATTCTGAAGTTGTCTGAAAATGTCTTCATGATTAAATTCAGCCTAAACGTTTTGCCGGGAACACTGCAGAGACAATGCTGTGAGTTTCCAACCTTAGCCCATCTGCGGGCAGAGAAGGTCTAGTTTGTCCATCAGCATTATCATGATATCAGGACTGGTTACTTGGTTAAGGAGGGGTCTAGGAGATCTGTCCCTTTTAGAGACACCTTACTTATAATGAAGTATTTGGGAGGGTGGTTTTCAAAATTAGAAATGTCCTGTATTCCAATGATCATCCTGTAAACATTTTATCATTTATTAATCATCCCTGCCTGTGTCTATTATTATATTCATATCTCTACGCTGGAAACTTTCTGCCTCAATGTTTACTGTGCCTTTGTTTTTGCTAGTGTGTGTTGTTGAAAAAAAAAACATTCTCTGCCTGAGTTTTAATTTTTGTCCAAAGTTATTTTAATCTATACAATTAAAAGCTTTTGCCTATCACTCTGGACTGTTGGATTGTTTTTTACATTCAGTGTTATAATCTTTTGTTATGCTGATTGGTTTTGGTGGGTACTGATGTGAATTAATAAAAACATTTCCATTTCCCTGTTTATTTTCTAATCTCTTCCACCTTGTAGGCTATGTTTACCATATGTAGCAGAATGCATTTACTCCATTTCTTGGTTCTAGATATTTATATTCTTTGTGAGAGTGTGTGTGTGTGTGTCTGTGTGTGCCTCTGGCATTTAGGAAGGGTTGTGTAGCTCATGTTTGATATTGATTAAAAATGTTTCATAGTTTTCCCCCCTTTGAACTAGACACACTTCTAATATTTGGTTTATACATTTTAAATTATGACTTTCAACGTCAAATATTTCCATATGACAGTCAGTTACATGATGTGTTTTCTTTTTCCTACCTCCTTTACCTGCCACTTCTCATAATGGTATTTGAACCTAAACATATGCCAGTGACATTCTGTGGTTGTCATCTTGCCCACACCTTGGTTTTTGGTTTAGATCCACAATTAAATATATTAATGCTCATGAGCTGTTCAAAAGTGAATGTCACAGTCATCACTTGCTGAGTGGTACTCATCCTTAACAGAGTCCTCATGAGGGAATCAGGTCTCGCTGAGTTTAGCATGTTTAATAATCTTCCTCGTGGTCTTGATACATGGATCGCATTACTGGATATAAGGTGTTTGCCCAAAATGATTTTTCTTGCATTTTTAGGAGCTATTGTCTTCCTTGCGGGACATACATGCTGTATGTTCTCATTGTGGGATTCTATTTTGTTCTACCAGGACCTATAATTTCTGCCAGTTACTTCATTTGTTCTCTTCACCATGAGTCTCCAGAGGATGCTTCCTTTGTCCATGCCTCCCCATCTCCCAGCAATTCTGCGTTTCCAAGACTGGCACCTCTGGTCCTCTGCATGGTGAAGCCCCTTCCTTTCAATTCCCCAGTAGCCAGTGCTCTAATCCACCAGGTCTCAGGCATGATCTATGTTTCTCCACATGCTCTTTCTGAGGATAGTTTTACCTGTGTTCTGTCATGAACAGGCCCTCCCTGCTGTCCTGGCCTCGATTTGCTTAGTGTTTCCTGCTCCCTCTGCCCTTGTGTGGCTCCCAGACCAAGTGAAACAAAATCACCTGAGGGCCACAGTGTTCCCTAGTCCTGGCGTTTAGGGGCAGGGTTATGGGTGGGATTTTTGACTCTCTAAGTTAACCCCTAGGGCTTTGAAGTGTCTGTTGAGAAATTCAGCTGTTATCATCCTAGGTGGACTTGCTCTCTCCTGTCCTCCTACTTCAAATGCAGAACTTCAATCGTGTACAAAAGAAGACTGAGTCATATAATAGAACACACCCTTATTCATTGGCTGGCTTCACCAATCATCTCATGGCTGAACTTTTAAAAATACAATCTTAGCCACATACCTATGAAATGTATATGTGTGTGTATACATATGTGAATTTGTTTCTGAGATTATGGAGGCTGAAATTCCCAAGATGGAAGGAAAGCTGGATACCCAGGAAAGCATTTGTTTCCCATTAGGCCTCTTAATTCTCTCCTGACCTTTGATTGATTGCATGAGTCCCACCCCCGTTAAGGGGGGCAATCTGCTTCACTTAGTCTGCCCATCCCGATGTTAATCATATGTGAAACACTCTCTGGAACACAACCAGAATCACATTTGGCCGAATGTCCCGGCACCCTGGTGCTCAGTCACAGTGATACGTGCAAGTAACTATCACACTTGTCCTTTGTCACATTTGTCATTTCCCCTGTTTTTCTCCCAATCTGCAGCTTATATTTGTTCTCTTAATACTGTCTCGTGTTGAGCAAAAACTTTTACTTTTTATAAAGTTGAATTTATCAATGTTTTCTTTAATGGTTTGTGTTTCTTGATAACAAAGAACACTTTGCCTAACTGTGTCGTGAAGATTTTGTCTTATATTTCCTGCTATACTTTTTCTACTTTTATAGTTTATATTTAGTTGCATAATCCATTTTGAGTTAGTTTTTGAGTCAGTATTGAGGTTCAGGTGAATCTTTTTCCTTTGGGGATATGCATGTCCAGTTGTTTCTACACAATTTGTTGACAAGAGAATGCCTTCTCCACTGAATCATATTTGGACCTTTGTCAATCCATTGGGTGGTTGAGACTGGTCTGAGGGCTGTCCTGGTGTTTGGACAGAGAGACAGGGCATGAAGTAGGGTGGTTCTTATGGGAAAAATTAAGGAAGGCACATTATTCTATGAGGCATAGGAAGCCCCAAGCACAATTGGGGTACCTTCTACCAGCATGTTGTAGCACATTCATCTCTGCTGTCTCTACCTCTCCTGTTGCAAAAGCTTGGGTGTGCATAGACACTGAGGTTGAGTGGTGTCTTTGGGCACTTTTGAGCATTGACACCAAAGCTCCAGCATCAAATCTTAGAATATCAAGCAGCCGGGTGGATCACCTGAGGTCAGGAGTTCACGACCAGCCTGACTAGCATGGTGAAGCCCTGTCTCTACTAAACACAAAAAGTTTAGCTGGGCATGATGGTGCATGCCTGTAATCTGAGCTACTTGGGAGGCGGAGACAGGAGAATCGCTTGAGTACCTGGGAGGCAGAGGTTGCAGTGAGCTGAGATCACACAATTGCACTCCAGACTGGGCAACGAGAGTGAAACTCCATCCCCCCAAAAACAAATAAATAAAAATAAAAGAATATCAAGCAGTCAAAGAAGCAGGAAAACATGACACATACTGAAGAATCTAATAATCTGGTTGAAATTGACACACACGTTGGAAATAGAAGAAAAGGACGTTACCGCAATTAGTATAATTGTATTTTAATTAAATGGAGAGGTTGAAGATTTTTTAAATATCAAATTCTGTAGATAAAAACTATGATTTACAGTGTGAAATGGAAGAAGGCACTGGATTAAATATTGCAGAAGAGAAGATTATTAAACTAGAAGGAATAGAAGTTGAAACTAACATAAATGAAACACACATTAACAAATGACTTGAAAACACATAAAGACCATCAGCATCAAAACTTTAAACACCCTAGTATAGGGCTAAATGGAATCCCTGAAGGGCAGGTAGTGGAGAAGAGAGACAAAGATATTTAAAACATACTGGATGAAAGATTTAGAAGCTCCATGGAAATCATAAACTTCAAATATTACAGAAATATGATTATCCCAAGAACAAGAAACATGCAGAAAACTTCACCAAGGAACACCTTAATCAAATCCATCAAAACCAGTGATAAAAAGGAAATCCTAAAAGTAATAAAAGGGAAAAGAACATGTTACATACAGAGCACTAAATATAAGGATGGCATAAGATTTCTCATAGGAAATTTTACAAACAAGAAGTTTGCAATAAAGTACTTAAAAAAAGAAAAACTGTCACCTACAAGTCTACACCTGGCCAAATTATCTTTCAAAAATAAACATGAGAAAAAATATTTTTGAACAGAAAACAAAATGATCTCAATTTGCAGATGGTGTGATCCTATGCATAGAAAATCCCAAACAATACATACAAAGGCAAACACACATACATGCACACAGACACCAGACACACACACACACACACACACACACACACACACACACTATCAGAGTTAATAAGTGAATTCAGCAAACTTTCAGCAAACAATCCATTGTGATGGCAATGAGCTATCTGAGAAGTAAACTGACACAATGATTTCATTTATAATAGCACCTGTAAGGATAATATGCCTGGGAATAAATTTGTTCAAGAAGTTGCAGTACTTGTACACAGACAACTACAGAACATTGCTCGAGGAGACTAAGGAAGACCTAAATCAATGGAAAGACATCTTGTGTCCATGGGTTGGAAGTTGTAACATGGTTAAGATAAAAATACAACTCAAAGCAATCCACAGACTCAATACAATCCTATCAAAAAGTGGCTTTTTTTACAGGAATGCCTGAGAAGAACTTCATGTTCCTAAAAAACAGCAAGTGTCCCCCCAAAACAAAAGCAATCTTGAAATGCAAGAAGGAACGTTCTCTATTCCAAAGGTCTTTAACTGCTCTCAGTAATACGTGGTAATCTTCAATATATAGGCTTTCACACCTTTTTTTTTTTCTTCTTTTGTTTCTAGACACGATCTCACTCTTTCACTCAGGCTGGAGTACAGTGGCAAGATCACACAGCTCACTGCAGCATGGAATTCTCAGGCCGATGACATCCTAGGGCCTCATCCACTGAGTACCTGGGACTACAGGCTCACACCACCACAGCCGGATAATTTTTCTGATTTTCAGTAGAGATGAGGTCTCACTATGTTGCCTAAGCTAGTTTCAAGCTTCTGAGCTCAAGCGACCCTCCTGCCACAGCCTTCCTAAGCGCTAGGATTTGAAGCTGCGCCTGGCTGGCTTTCACATCTTTGCTATGTAGTTTATATTTCTTGGTGTTATTGTAAATGTTTATGAAAGGAATCTTTTAAAAATTTTGTATTAAAATTATATATTTAAGGAATTACATATATTATATATATTTAAGGAATACAACCTGAGGACTACATATACATATACATATACACATACACATACACATACATACACATACACATACACA